>NC_000003.12:168705574-168857089 GCF_000001405.40 Homo sapiens
TTATGACATTTGTGATTCATGTGACATTGAGGTTAAACAGACTACTTTCTACACTCTTGCTAGTTGGAATTTATGGTCCACAGTCCAGTACATCAGAATTACCTTGGATCTAGTTAGAAATGCAGAATCTCAGACCTCAGTTGCAGATCTACTAAATCAGCATCTGCATTTTAACAAAATCCCTAGGTAATTAAAACACTTACTGCACCAGGCAATCTTAACTCTGACTACACATTAGAATCACTTAGGGTGCTTTAAAAATGTTTTGATACACAGGCCTTAGCCATGCCCAATTAAATCAGACCCTGTAAGGGTGGGACCCTGGCACTGGTATTTTTTGATGCTCACCAAGTGGTTCTAATGTGCTGCCAAGTTTGAGGACTTTTGATTACACAATGCCCAATCAGTAAATTCAGTGTATTCTGAAAGGGCAAAAAGAAAAAAGAAGTCAAACCAATTACTTAGTATTTGGTCCCACTCTATAAATGATTGATTTTTTTTAACTTTTAATAAGTTTGCTTTGCTATGGTGTGAACACAGCCTATTATGTCTCAACCTGCCCAGAAATGTATTGTATTTTAAATCAAGAAGAGAAATGCTTTACCATCCAAATTAAATAAAAGGAGACTTACGTTTGTTTTTCAATTTTACTTCCCTTTGGTGACCTTATTCTCCAGCTTGACAGAGCTAAATGCTAAATTTCAGATAAACCACTGTACTTTTGGATTGTCCACCCTGCTCTCCATGCACTCAATTTTCATTTTTCCCCTAAGCCTAATGGACTTCTTGCCTCTGGATTTCTATATTGTTCACTGCTCCTGCCATGCACTCTCACTTCATGGTCTTATATTGTTAGCTCTACTAGTTAGTGGAATAAAAATATTATTTAATTTCTACATATAATCTCAAGCATTACCATATGCCAAAATCTTACATATGAATAGGAAAAAAATCACAGCACAGTACATGTGGCCATCACTATCATCTCATTTTATAGATGGGGAAACTGAGTCTCAGAGAGACAAGGTAACTGGCTAATAAGTTCGAACACTGTTTTTCCCAAGACTATTTGACTCAAAATACAGAGGAAGTTTGGTGTGTGTGTGTGTGTGTGTGTGTGTGTGTGTGTGTGTGCATGCTTATTTCAACTATAGTATAGTACTTTAATTAAAATTCTAGGACAGATTAAGAATATAAACATGTTAGGCTGCGTGCAATGGTTCACGCAGTAATCCCAGCACTTTGGGAGGCCAAGCTGGGTGGATCACCTGAGGCCAGGAGTTTGAGACCAGCCTGGCCAGCATGGTGAAACCCCGTCTCTACTAAAAATACAAAAATTAGCCAGGTGTGGTGGCATGCACCTGTAATCCCACCTACTCAGTAGGCTGAGACAGAAGAATCACTTGAACTCGGTGGGTGGAGGTTGCAATGAGCCAAGATCACACCACTGCACTCCAGCCTGGGTGACACAGCGAGACTGTGTCTCAAAAAAAAAAAAAAAAGAAAAAGAATATGAACACATTAAAACATATTAAAAAGAACATTCATTCTCAAAATCTATGCCCACTCTTACCTTTGGAATGGACTCAGTGATTTTTCTTATTTTCACTAACTTTGTTTCTTTTGTCAGAAAACTATTGAAGTTCGGTGGGTGGGTCAAGGGAGGTGGTCATACTATATTGGTTTCTTTAAAATTTGTTTTCATTGCATAAATAACAACTGGATAACTTTTTCCTGTAAAAAATTAGAACATCATAGATATGACTAAAATCTTTGTGTCCAGCACAGCCCCATGCACACCCTGCACTAAACCCGTTTGAACACCTTTTCTCCCCCATCAGAAGTAGCATCCTTTAAGACATTTCCCAATGTATTTAAATATATATGGCACATTGCAATAACTCTTGAGGATGGCAAAAATCATTTGTGATCTAAAGCTTAGTATGCTTGAAAATTAAGAGTTTTACTTATGTCTAAAATTTTAAAACCTGGGAAGGATATCTAATTCGGGGGTTGACAAAATTAAGATTCAAAATTATATCTTAACTCCACAGAATAATACCATAAAGTCAGAAAGATAAAAATTTAGCCATCATAAATATTGAGCCCTGCGTAAAAATACAAGTAACACATAGAGAATTCTGGTTTAACATTAGTTCATATGAAAAAGACCTAGAGGTTGGTTATCACAGACTCAAAACATAATAAAAATCCTAGCACTTTGTAAAGTCAGTAATTCTTATCTTTAAAATAAGATTCCTTTGAAAATATCAGGAATTATACCAGAATATCTACTTTTTGAAGGAAAATACTAAATTGTATAAAATTGTAAAATAGAGTGAACTAGTAGTTTTTAAATATGGGACTTATTTGATGACTTAATATCCTCTTTTTATATATTTTGTCTCTTAATTCAATGCCAATTAAGAGAAAACTCTTTTGCTTCCCTCAGGTCATATCCTCTAGTCTTTATTACAGTACAAAGCACTCATTACAGATCATAGGATTTTAGCCTGAAAAGGTGCTATGATGAGTCATTGCAATAGTAATACTTCTCCATTTTGATGTCTTCTTGAATAAGGATCTTGCCGTGTGGAATTAATGCTGCTCGTTGTAATGCTGATTGTCTAGTAGGCTGACTATATTTTAGTGAAGAATATTCATTCCCAATATTCTTGCTGGAATATCTGAGATTGGGAGCAGGGAATACTATCCATTAGCAGGCATTCTATCCGTTAGACACATGCGTTCCTATGCTAAGTCTCCACCTTCCTGAAAGATGATTATTTCTTTGAAACTTGTCAAAAGCCATAGGTTTTTATTTAAAAATAAATCCCCAAACAAGAACATTCAGAATTTCTCTATCCACCAGCCACCTGAAAATACCTCCCTAGGTTTATGGATATTTTCTTTTTGTGATTTTAGACACACAAGTACTGATTACACAGGGTACAAGGAAGTGTAGCTTCTGAGAGAGAAATTGATTTTTCTTTTCTAACAGAAGATGAAGATCATATTCATTTATCATGACCTTGGCTGATCATAAGACATAGGTGATCATGAATCTTGACCACTTGCTATTTTTTATAAAATTAAAGTAACCACTCATATAAACATGGTATTTCAGAAAATGGCATCTTGAGTGAGAAGGAAGAAGTTGAATCAATGACACAAATGTATATTTTTAAGAACACCAAACCATGGTTTCATTTTAATTTATCTATCTCTGCCCTGATGTTCCTCATAGCACATGAGAGGGAGATTCAAGGTCTTGACTCTATTACTGGCTTTATTCAGCAGTGCCAGACCAATAATAGGTGTTTATCTACCAGCGTGTGCTGCTCCTGATAGAGTAGCTTATTGTAATTCTCCCCTCCAGTTTTCCTTCCCCAAGGAAATACCTACATCTCAGATCTGTCTAATTAACCAATATTTGAAGAATAGAAAATTACGAGCAATCCCTATGCTCATCATTGATGGGCTTTAAAAAGCTCGATAAAGTTTCTAGGTACATTTTCTTGTTTACACGATGAAGCAAAATGGATCAAACAAGCAAAGATTTGTGGCAACAGAGATGGTGCCTTTGTATAATATAACACATACTGTGTATCAAAGAAATATTGTGCCACTTCTTCGAAGCTGACATTGGAACGACATTGTAATCCTGACCATCTGTCTTCCTCCTCTAGATGTCGATGAACGTGCAGTGGTGAATGGAGGCTGCCAGCAGCGCTGTATTAACACTCTGGGCACCTTCCACTGTGAATGTGATACGGGATAGAGACTGCATGCTGATGAACGCACCTGCATAAGTGAGTAAATATTAGAACCAGCTTGAAGCTGTTTTCAATGAAAATCGACCTGCCCATGTAGAGGCAGGAAGGAAAGGTTGTTCTATTGTGAAAATATCTATAGAAGCTGACAGTTTTGAGTACAATTCTATCCCTTAGGATTTTTTTAAAAAATATATTTTGCTATTAAAAGACTACCAGACAAAAAGTGGGGAAGGAGATATAGAAATTAACATTCAGAAGCAAACCTTGAATCCCCAAATATGTAAATATTTCTGTAGCATGTAATTTCTGCCATATACAGTAGAGTACACATTTGTTAGTTGTTGCTTATATACAAGCACAGCACAGAACTACAATAAAGTGAAGATACTGGGCCATTATAATTACTAGCAACAATGTCACTCATTTTAGACTAGAAAGAACTGGACTCAGAACCCCCTGACTGGAAAGAACTGGACTCAGAACCCCCGATTAGAATTCAAGCCCCAGCAAAATTATAGCAGATTATATGCCAAATATATTAGGACTGTTCAAGCTCAGTTAAAACTACACATGTGAAATCTGAAATTCTGTATGTTCATTGTGCATCAAAATTTCTTAATACTATTTGTGGGTAGTAGGATTATTATTTTTTGTGTTTGTATTTTTCTGAATTTTCTAAATTTCTTAAAATGAGCATATGGGACTTTCATAAACAGAAAAAAAACTTTAAAAATGCTATGTTTCCTGTATGACTTGTAAATGCTCCTTGTTGTTTTAACTGAAGTAATTTACATAAATATTCTTTTTTCATTAAGTGATGATTCTCAGATCACATAAAATTGCATTCTAACTTCCTCTCCAGGTCCCTTTTGAAAATATTTATATTAAAAAAGGAGCACATTGTACAGCACAATTTAATTACTGGCTTTTTGTTTATAGAGTTTGTTAACTAGTTCATCCATACAAAATTGTCAGTATCTTACAATGTAGGCGATAATTATGAAACTTGGAATCGAAATCAGCCAATTTCAACTAGCTTTATAACATATACCCCTCCTTCTTCTTCTTAGCCTATCTTTTAAGAAATTAAAAAAAAAAAGGCAATGCAAACAGGTAAAGAAGTCCTATTTGTAGGTCTGATTTTGATATGAGAAAACAGGTTCTGAGAGAAAAAGAAAAAAAATTCTTGAAGTCAAGTGAAGATACAAACTAAAGTCATATCCTAGGCTTCAAGGAGCTCAATATCATAATGATTGTATCGACAGCAAGCACAGGTTGGGGGACATTAATACACGCATGTTTAAATCAAAACAACCCTTTCTTTTTGTGGGATTACTGGTTTTAGCTGGAAGAATCCCTTTCCATCCTCATTTCCAATCTGTAAAGTCTCCAGCTAGTAACATCTTTAAACTGCCACCATAATGTCTCTCAATCACAAAATACATAAGAGCAGCAGGATTATTGATACATGCAGATGGGATATTTATCAGTAAAAGTTGACCTGGTAAATTTTTGTTTCTGATTTAAAAATTTTTTGCCAAATAGTGATTTATATGAATCTACAATATCTGGTCTTTGTGATAAGGCAAAATAAACACTCTAGTCACCAACTAAATTGTATTTATAGGTATAATTAATTTGGCAGTTCCTAGTTATTTCTTAGTAAAATCATTAAGCTCTTCCCTTATTCCTTTCCATCACTGTCCTTGAATTTTCAAAAATTTTTAAGGACATCAGGTCAAAAGTGGAGTTTGACAAGGATATTGTAGGTTATCTTTTCTCTTTCTATTCCTTTAAAGCTAATTATTATTGTACATATACATGGGCACTATGATAATAGCTTACTTGCAGCTCCATATGCTGATCTCCTTATGCAGAATCTTAACATAGGGAAAAATTAAATTTATATATGCATACTGATAACACATATAAATCTCCCATTTTATATATATATATATATATATATATATATATATATCTCGAGTGAATTAAGCTATTAAGAAATGTAGAGTTAATGATTGCCGTCATTTAAAGTGTTTAACCCCTTGATACCATTCTACAGAAGTTACTGAACTAAAAGCCCAGCACTTGACCCTTGCAAAAATTTTGATGCCTTTTCCACTTAATACACTGAAGTTTTGGTTTCAAAGGGTGGTCTTAAGAATTTCAGCTGATACAGCTTACATTTACAGCAGTCTTTTTAAAAGGAGCCCAAGAATAACTTAAGCACTTTGTATTGAAACATAAATAATGTGTAAGATTAAGAACAATAACTATTTGCTTATTTGTTCTGAAAGAAAGGGTTTATTGCAGAGAATTGACTTTCAGGCTGGTCTGTATTCCAGGCTATCTTGTAAACAGGGTAAGTTTTTTTTTTACATTAATTTATTTATCTATTTTTGAAATTTCAGCTTTTATTTTAGATTCATGGGGTATGTGCAGGTTTGTTACATGGGAATACTGTGTGATGCTGAGGTTTGGGGTGCAATTGATCCCATCACTTAGGCAGTGACCATAGTACTCAACAGGTAGTTTTTCAACTCTTCCCCTCAACAATTAGTTCCCCATGTCTATTGTTCCCATCTTTATGTCCAAGTGCATCCAATGTTTAGCTCCCACTTATAAGTGAAAAGTATGTGGTATTTAGTTCTCTGTTTCTGTATTAATTCACTTAGGATAATGGCCTCCAACTACATCCATGTTACTGCAAAGGATATGGTTTTGTTCTTGTACATGGCTGCATAGTACTCCATGGTGTATATGTACCACATTTTCTTTATGCAGTCCACCACTGATGGGCATCTGGGTTGATTTCACGTCTTTGCTATTGTGAGTACTGCTGCAATGAACATTCGAGTGAACATATCTTTTTGGTTGGAGAATTTAGTTTCCTTTGGGTGTATACCCAGTAATGGGATTACTAGGTCGAATGATAGTCCTACTTTTAGTTCTTTGAGATATCTCCAAACTGCTCTCCACTAATAGTGATTTAAAAAAAAAAAAAAAAAAAACCATTGAATTATCTCACATTTCCGTTGAGATTTTTTACCTGGTAGAAAGCTGAATATGGTGGTTGGTGTTTAATGGGAGATTGTAGTAGATGGAAGTTTATTATGATTCACGGTAGAGTCACAGAGAAGAAGATAAAGTTATGAAATGTTGTGATTTCATACATTAGACTACTTGAAATTAAGTGCCTCCATTTCTTCCTTCCTCCTTTCCTTCTTTTCTTTCCTTTTCCCCATTCTGCTTATTAGTCATAGGATAAGACTAGTGTGACTTTTTGAGTTAGAGCCTCTGGTGCTTTTTGTACTTTATCTTCATCAAAGCTACAATAAAGTAAACTCCCCACACACAGACACTTACAGAGTTTCAGATGACTTCATTTCAAAAGGGTCTCCTTTCTCAGGGCTGTGCTCTTGTAGTGGTGTGTGTGCAGTGCAGAACAGTCAGCCTCCGTCAGAACAATCAAGCAGCATAGAGTGGTGTAAGGGAAGGAGTCCATGGCAGCTGGCTAAGGTGGCAGGAAGTATGAGTGCATGGGGCATGTGGCTCACCATACAAGTTGCTTGGACTGCTGATACAATGGGATTGCAATAAATCTGGGGATCTTTGTTTAGTGGACCACAGTTTGAACCCATGGACTTGTCAGCAAATTTTTGGAATGTGTCATTGCTTTGGAGGCCAGGGCCTTTGCTCAGATTCTTTAAGATGTCTATGGCACCCCCAAAATACCCCACATATATTTTTGTCATTATGATGTCACTTCTTAAAAAGTATGTAGGAGAAGGATCTCATGACATTGTTATATCATGTTATTGTCTCATGATACTGTCATATAGTCTGATGCAAAGTTGTGCAGTGAATGCTTCTCTCAACAGCTTTCTTTATAATGGGATTTGAGGCTAGGAACCTCAGTCCCTGTCCTTGAGAAGCATGACTCCTGACCCACTGTCATTTCTCCTGAAAGAACATCAGGAAAACCAGCCTGAAAGCATGCCCCACGTATGAGGAGCATCACAGCAAGTGAAAGTAGCTGCATTTTGTTGATGGAAGGGTGCAGACACAGCATGGGGAAGCAAACAAAAGTGGAATTCTTGCCACATTTGCTTTGCTATTGGTGTTCTCCCTTAACATGCATATTATGGAATAATTTTTATATTTTTAAATTTTCTTTTATGTGGAGACCAACAGTTTAAAAGATGGAAAATAGATTTTAGCAATCATCAGAAAGACAGAGAAATTTATATTCAGATTAGTGAACACTGAATCTCATCTATGTGGTCTCGGGACTGTGGCACAATAAAATTCAAGTTGGCATGTGAGCTTAAGCAAGTCATTTAATCTCTCTACACCCTGGCTGCCTCCTGTGCAAAACAGAAATTGGACAATTGGGCTTAAAATTACTTCATCACTAAGGTATTATAATTTTACAGTTTCTAAAATTACTAGTTCATTATAAATAATCTGCTAACTTGTATTTTAAAAATTCTACTGAATCAGGCATAACTATTTTATAGAGCTCTAATTTTATTTAAAAAGTGTTGAAATAACTCAGCTCTATAGAGTACAAGCATAAAAGCAGTGTGAGAATTTTGTGATCTAGTTTAATAAAAATGAATGAGTAACTTGCATTTCTTCTTGAAAAAAAAAAAAAACTTCGGTGCTTTTGTGACAATACTGTTTTCCATATCACAGAATAATATCTGGAGGGGACCCAAGGATTATGATAGTCCAATTTCCTATCTTAGAGATAGAAAGTCTGAGAGAGAAAGAGATCAAGTAAGTAAATTACTGTGAGAAAGAAAAATTTAGTCTTCAGGAAATCCTGGCTAATCTCACTCCTGATCCTATGACCTCAAATAACTTCTGTTCAATTTTGTTTTGTTTTATTTTGAGAGAGTCTCTGTCTGTCACCCAAGTTGGAGTGCAATGATGTGATCTTTGCTCACTGCAGCCTCCGCTTCCTGGGCTCAAGTGATTCTCCTGCCTCAGCCTCCCAAGCACTTTTTCTACAGGTGCGCACCACCACGCCTGGCTAATTTTTTGTATTTTTAGTAGAGATGAGGTTTCACCAAGTTGGCCAGGCTGGTCTGGAACTCCTGGCCTCATGTGATCTGCCTGTCTCGTCTGTTCAATATGTTTTAAAAGACTAAGATAAATCATGAAAGCACTGCTAAAAGAAATTCTTACATTACATTTTAGTAAACACAGCTAAGGGTTAAAACAATGTATTTTTAAGGTAGCTACTGAAGAAATAAATCTACTTTATATCATCTCTTGTCAGTTCAATCTTATCACTTCTCTCCTACATTTCTGTGATATGCTCCAACAAAACCTGGCTACTCTCAGTTCTCTAAGTAAGCCATGCCCTTTTCTGCTTCTGCACTTTGCTTTACTCTTAGCCTAAAAATTAGCTCACCCCCAAGTCTTTGCCTATCAAAACTACACTTACTATGTTCCATGTCAAATGACCTGTAATGCTTTCTCTGGTTACAACAGCCAAAGGCATTCTCTCTTATCTGAAATATCAAGCAATTTTATTTGTGTTGGTTTAATAATACATCATAATATATAGACTTATGAATGTATAATTGGGTTTCAGACTAAATGAAAGACACTGATGACCTTTTAATTGTCAACTTCAAGTGGAATCTTTTCCGTTCTCTTCTTGATAGCTGTTAACCACTAATTTTTCTAAATCTTCCTTTTGAGTTCATGACAGTGCAATTTTCACTTTCAATTGCTGCTTCTCTGTTACTTTCACTCTGGGTACCAGGGTTCTGACTTGGAGTTATCATCTGTGTCTCTCCTCTGTTCTCCTTTATTCACCCTTCCTCTAGTCTATCTTCATTTTGCTCTTCTATTTTTATACATAGTACTTGCAAAATAGTTAGAATATTCCCTTGCACATTGTATTACTTAAATATAACCTATTAGAATATAAAAAATATAAGGACTTCACCCAGATGGATTTGCTTGTTAGGGAAAACAAAGTTGTTCCAGTATTTCTAGCTTTTGGAACGTTGCTGATATTCTCTTTTATAAAGTACATTGTCTTTCGATAGCTGTTAAATGGTGGTTTTTTTCCATGGTTGAGAGGCAGGGGCTAGTAGATATAGCTAAATATGAGAAGTAATGGTAATGTAGACTAAACTGCTTTTATTATTAGAGGATGTTTTTTAAGAGCCAGGGGCTACATGCCAAAATAATTTATATTACCCGTATTTTCAGTATTTAACTGTGTAATTTACATTTTAAGTAACTTGTAAGGCTATAATTTGATATACCTCACAAAATCTTTCTTGAATTTTTATTTTTAATAACAACCTTATGAAACATGCTCAGCTCAGATCTCCATTCATAATCATGTTCTTCCCTTGATGTATTTGCTGAAATTGGCCTTCCCAGAGGGAAGAAATAATTAAATGATTCAAAGTTTTAATGCTTGCATAGTTCTCTTACTGCTTTCATGCTTTCAGTACATAGGTTTATTAACATCTGCATTCATAAATAAACAAATGGAATCTGATGTCTGCATAGAGAAACCTTAGATAAAGAACATTTTAATTACTTCAGTCTCTGATGCAAGAATTCTTTATTTCCAGTTGCAGGGAATGATCAGGATCTGTTTTTGTTCAATGGTCTCTTTTTAGAAGTCCAATGTGATATTCATTGCACAATGGAACCCAGTGACCCCTTTTTAGTCTCACTAAATGAAAAAAAAAAAAAGAAGAAAGATGACCTAGAAAATATAATCTAAAGATTTTAGATATTTTGTTTGTGGTCAAGTGTGTGACATGGTGCAGTCAATGGTGATACTTTAATGATAATTAAGCAGAAGTTGTGTGGCAAGGAGAGGGTAGGTGTACCAGCAAGAGCTTGATTAAAATAAAGATGTCCTTACTAAAACTTTGAGCTTGAATAAATTTTCTTATATCAGATTTTTATGAGTTTGACATGTTAAAATAATGCTAATTTTAAAAAAAGATTGAGAAAACTATTAGATGTGGTGGTCTTCACAATGAGTTCTTTTGTTTTTGATCTCAGTGTTCTGATCACTGATGTCTAAGTTTTATTTGATAAGAGGAAGGATTCTTTCCAGGGAATGCAAAGAGATTGCCCTCAAATAGGATATGAAAGAGGTTAAAGACTTTCATTGTAACTACCTTTCAATTAGTTGCATTATTTATGAAGACAAATTAGAAACAGAATTCATTTCAGATGACAGCTGATGTCTTGAACAGGGCCATGTCAGGTTAAAAAAATTGTTTAGTTTGTCAGATTGATGGCATCTCTCCATCATTATCAGATTCATCACCCTCTCAAGATTAAGCACTTTTGTGTGGCAGATGATAAACTTAATTCCCAAAAGTTAAATTTAAGGAACACTTTTTCTCTGCCCGTCTCATTCTCAATCTGTGGCCTTAGGGAAAAATCATGAACTTAAGTTTTTCATCCAGAGCATCGACTGTTAACCCAGTTTAGTAACTTTTTACAACTATTTGAGTTTCAGGAACACATTAAGAAATCTTCCCTTTTTTTTCTGTAGTTTTTGTACAGTTTGCAGACTCAGGAAGGTAAGACTGACAATTTTAGATAAAGACAGATTGAGGTTTGAATCTGACTGTATCACGTAAGAGTTGTGTGATCTTAGCCCAGTTACGGGGTGTCCCTGATTTTCAGAGTCCATATCATCTCTATGTCTATGTGAATACCTATATCTACTAAAATCAGGATAATAATTCACAAAAATCATGTTGTACATCGTGAAAGAGCACATACCTTATAAAGAAGAATGTATGTAACATACTATAATGATCATCCATGGGAAATTGGGAAGATTGAGAGTGGGCTCTGGGGTTAAAAGTGAACAAATAAGAGAGGCTCTTAAAAGGACAAGGGAGTGATAAGGAATGTCCTTGTGGTGTGATGAACTCCACCTTCTGTACTGGAGATTACAACAAAACAAAATAATGAAATGTTTGCGTAGTGGTCTTCACATTTGGTAATTGGCTTTTTGTACTTCTTTCTCTTTATGTGGCAAGTATCTTTACATGTCTTCCTTCAGAATAATTTTTAAGTTATTTTTCTAGTTCCTTTTATAAAATATATGACATTAAATGATAAAACCCTAATATTAAGCAATATTTAATTTTGTTTTCTTGTGTTCCCTAAGTAATCTCATAGTGCATTATAGAATACCCACCATATAGCATAAACTTACATGTGAAGAGATTAAAGTCGTAACTGACACACAGTGAATGCTCAATAAATGGTGGCTTAGATTAATGATTTATGTATCTACTCCTACATTATTTTCTCACAACCTGAACACCCGTTCAATACAGAGATACTGAGAATGGGAGATTCTTCATTGTGTGCCACTGGAAATCCAAGACTTTAGCTTTAAATTATTCATTCATGAAAATATACCATGGAATTTAGGATCGAGAGAAAAATGATACTAATCTGAAAACAGTATATCTTGGGAAAAAAGTTCCTCCCCTTTCAGAGTAACAATGTTAGCTTTACCACATAGTTTTTGTTTATTTCTTTTTAGTTTTTTTATTTTTTAATTTCGTGGGTACGTAGTAGGTGTATATATTTATGGGGTACATGAGATGTTTTGATACAGGCAAGCAATGTGAAATAAGCACATCATGGAAAATGAGGCACCCATCCTCTCAAGCATTTATCCTTTGAGTGACAAACAATCCAATTATGCTCTTTAAGTTATTTAAACATGTACAATTAGGTTATTATTGATTAGAGCCACCCTTTTGTGCTATCAAATAGTAGGTCTTATTCATTCTTTCTGTACCACCCATCGCCATCTCCCCCCATCAGCCTTGAACTACCCTTCCCAGCCTCTGGTAACCATCCTGCTACTCTTTATGTCTGTGAGTTCAATTGTTTTGATTTGTAGATCCCACAAATAAGTGAGAACATGCAACATTTGTCTTTTTGTGCCTTGTTTATTTCACGTAACACAGTGGTCTCCAGTTCCATCCATATTGTTGCAAATGACTGGATCTCATTCTTTTTTATGGCTGAAGAGCACTTCATTGTGTATATGGAATCACGTTTTATTTATCTATTCATCTGTTGATGGACACTTAGGTTGCTTCCAAATCGTATATATTGTAAACAGGGCTGCAACAAATATAGGAGTGCAGATAGCTCTTTGATATACTGATTTCCTTTACTTTGGGTCTATACCAGCAAGACGGATTGCTGGATCATATGGAAGTTCAATTTTTAGGTGTTTTTTGTTTTTTTTTTTTTTTTAGGAACCTCCAAACTGTTCTCCATAGTTTACACCATCAGTGTACAAGGGTTCCCTTTTCTCCACATCCTCGCCAGCATTTGTTACTGCCTGTCTTTTGAATAAAAGCCATTTTAACTAGGGTTAGATGATATCTCATTGTAGTTTTGATTTGCATTCCTCTGATGATCAACTTTACCATGTAGTTTTTATATTACAAGGTGTTAGACGTTGAGCTAATGACATAACTGCTTAATAACTCAGCTTCTCCATATGTAAGGGGACAGTTGAGGAAAAGTAACAATGCAAGTGAAATCTTTAGTTCAGTGCCTGACACAGAGCAAGCAAGTAAAAAATATTAGGTAATATTATTAGTATAGTTCCATACCTTGGAACTTGGCTATAGCCATAGAACTAAGTAAAATTATGAAGGGTCAGAAACCATAAGTATAAATTGGCTTTGGTGATCACATTACTTCTATTAGGCATTTTTGTTAGTAGTTGCTATGGTGTGAATGTTTGTGACCCTAGTATTCATATGTTGAAATCCTAACCCCCAGGTTTATAGTATTTTGAGATGGGAACTTTTAGGAGTTGATTAAGTCACCAGGGTAGAATCCTCATGAGTGGCTTTAGTGCCTTCATAAAAAAGAGGCCCGAGGGAGCTTGTTTACCCCTTCCACCATATGGGGATACAGCAAGAAGGTACAATCTACAAAAAAGATGTACCCTTAGCAGACACTGAATCAGCCAGTACCTTGATCTTGGACTTCTCAGCCTCTAGAACTGTGAAAAAATATTTATAAGCTGCCCAGTCTATAGTATTTTGTTATAGCAGCCAAACAGACAAAGATAGTAGATTTTAAAAGCATACATTCACTGACTGTTTCAACAATCCCCCCTTTTCTTTATATTTTTGATATTTTTTGAGTTTTAGAGCAATATTCACAACTATGTTTTGACTATATAATAACATACTCCCATTCTCATTTATCCCTAGGTTGAAGATTTATATCTCCCTTTTTCCAAAAGCACTGAAGGCAGCAAGCTACAGGAAGCTTATGCATTTTTACAGGATACAAAGTGCAGAAAGACATTAAACATAAAACAGTATTGCCTACATCTAAAAGAGGCAGAAGGAATAAGTGCTTGCAAATAGCAGATATGAGCAGAAAACTTAAATCCAAATTTAGTATCCCAATATAGCTTCTAGCTACTGACAAGAAAAGAATAGCATGATTTCAGAGTTTGCATTTTTCTGACACAAGTCACAGAGACATCTTTTTTGGGGGGTGGGGGGAGAATTCAGTGATTTCATAATCTGTTACTGAATACACATATTTTATTTTGCAGAGAAAATAGAAATTTTTAGCTAAGGTACCTCCCAACTTTTACTCCCACCCAGAACTTTAAAATTAACTCTAAGCTCTGCCTACTTTGCTCTTCACTCTGAGGAAAAAGTGCTCTGCTGTAATTTCAGGCTAATCTTCCCATCTCTGGATAGGATCTCAGCTGCCCTCCTCCTTAGAACATGGCTCCATTACATGCTTCTTTTTCCTCTATCACCATCTTCTTTATCTCTATCTTAAAATAAAACTTCTCTCTAAAACTAGTTTTGCCAAGGTTATTGATAAATTATACACTGTTAAATTCAAGGAGTACTTTTCATACCTTATTTTGCTTAATATCTTGAAAGTAATGATCTTGCCTTCTATCATAGTCTGTTTTCTGCTGCTATAACAACACACCAGAGATGGTGTAATTTAAAAAGAACAGAAGTTTATTTGGCTGTCAGTTCTGGAGGCTGGAAAGTCCAAGAGCATGGCACCAGCATCTGGCAATGGTCATCCCATGGCAGAAGGCAGAAGTGGGCATGTGAGGCAGAGAGTGAATGGGGGCCAAAGTTATCCTTTTATCCAAAGCCCACTCCTGTAATAATGGCATTATTCCATTCATGAAGGCAGAGATCTTATAACCTAATCACCTCTTGAAGGTCCCATCTCCCAATACGATTACATTGGCAATTAAATTTCAACATGAAATTTGGCAGAGACATTCAAACCATAGCACCTTCCTTCTTGACATTCTCTCTTTCTTGGATTATAGAACACAACTTTCTTTTGGTCCCCTCCCATCTCTGTGATGGCGTATCTTCTTTCATGGAGTCTTTTCCCTCCACTCATCCTCAAAATCTTAATGATTTTCAGTGTTCTAAATTTGGCTCTTTCTTTTCTCCCTCCTGTGTAATCTCTTCCACTTGCAAAGCTTTACCTGTTACAAGTAGCTAGCAGGGAATGATGTCCAAATCAAATTACTAAACCAAATCCTTCTTGTCTGTTGACCCACAGACTCAGCTACTGCCTGGGCTTCTTCTTGAGGAGGTCCCCTTAGCAAGGAAAACTTAGTGAGTCTAAAATTCAACACGTCTTCATTCCCACATGCTCCCAACTTTTCTCTTCTCTTTTGTTCTTTTTTCTTAGTGAGTGGCAGCACCCCAGGCCAGTTATTCTCCAGGCCAGTGTAGTACACCAGGAGTCACTATGGTTTGAATGTCTCTGCCAAAATTCATGTTGAAATTTAATTGCCAATGTAATAGTATTGGGAGATGGGACCTTCAAGAGGTAATTAGGTCATAAGGTCTCTGCCTCCATGAATAGATTAATGTCATGGCATCTCCTTACTCTGACTTTACAAATCTAATCTCCAGTAAAACCAATAGGCTCTTCTTCCGTCACACTCCCCAAGAGCTATCTCCACTATGACTGCTTACATTAAGGCCCTCATAATCTCTTACAGAAATGTTTTTGCAATTGCCTCTTAACCAGGGTTATCGTCCATACTTACTCCCCTTAACTCATTATCTAAACTACTTCCAGAGCCAAAGATGTAATTTAAAAATTATTTTACTATGCTTAAAACCTCTTATTGTTTTTAGAATTGCTTTTAGAATTTACCCCAAACCCTTACTATGGCTTACAAAATGATTCAGAGTCTGACTTCTGGCTACTTCTGTCGCACGTAACAAGTTTCTGCTCCATACTTTATACTACAGGCTCAGACACCCAGAAAATTTGCAGCTCCCTAAGTGTACTCAGGGGATCCACATTCCTTACACTTTTCCTCTTAGTGTTCTATCTGCCAAACACACCTGCTTCTGCATCTGTTCATCCAGTAGTTTTGATAAACATCAACACTCCCTTCTCTTAAGTTCTCCCTTTCTCTACTTCTTTGTCCCTAACTTCTACTTGTGTTTCAAAGCTTACTGTGGACTCACCTCTCCTGAGAAGACTTCCCAGATCTATTAACATACTCAAAACCAAATTTGCCACCTGTTTTAAAAAATTTAAATATTATTTTGATGGCAGAGCACAACAAAAAGACACTCAGGCAGACGAAAAGCAGGGCTTGTTGCCACTTACAGCTCCAAATGAGATAGAGCTGCCATGCAGGGCTATACATTGAGTTATACCTGGGACTAGGGTAACAGCAAGCTAGAACTGGAGGAGGCAGCTTATGTATGGTAACAAGGTAGGGGCAGGCTAAGTATCACCATCTATCTGAGGATTGGGAATAATTCCACAAGCCCAAGGATAGTGATATTATTCATGGGTGTTAGGTATCCAGGAAACTCTGGCAGTTGGGTATGTGTGTGTTGCATCCCAGGAATGTTGGATTCTCACCAAGGTAAGTAGTTGGGGTTGGGTCTAGCAAACTGCCTGTGAAGGGGAATTGAGGTTTTTAGCCATGATTCAAAACTGGATCAGGACAGCACTTGGGAAATATTATAATACATCACCACATGGAGCTAGGATGTATCTCTAACATAGAACTTTTCCCAGTGGGTTATAAAGCTTTATCTTTTTGTGTGTCTCTTGCACTAGACTTTAATCTCTCCTATATTCTCAATACCTAGAATGTGACTGAAATAAAGCATTTAACTTTATTAAATGACTATTTTTCAGTGTTCAAAATATAAAGGTCTTTGCAATTAGTTATGCTTTGTTTATAAGTAGGAGCTTATTGTCTCTCTTGTGAACTTCTCTTAATTTGATAAGAGGAATTATATAATACATGGCTTTGGCTCCTAGGAACCCTACACTAAGTTGAAGGCTTAACTTCAGGGATTCTACTTAGTCTATATTCCTAATTTAACTATCATCTCGACCCTATTTCACAACATGGTTCTTGTTTTCTTCAATGAATATTTTTGTACTTTTCCCCCTCCTTTTAAACCTTAGCATTAGTTATTCTATTGTAGATATGTTTTAGACTGCACACTGCCTTAAATCATCTTTGGAAATAAATGGAATATAAATGTAGTAAAAATAAATTCAAGCTTAGATTTATCACCTGGTTCCTTGCAAAAACCAACAAGTGACATCATTAACAATAGTTTAAACTTCAGGGCCGGGTGCGGTGGCTCACACCTGTAATCTCAGCACCTTGGGAGGCTGAGGCAGGTAGATCATGAGGTCAGGAGTTCAAGACCAGCCTGGCCAACATGATGAAACCCCGTCTCTACTAAAAATACAAAAATTAGCCGGGCATGGTGGTGCACACCTGTAGTCCCAGCTACTTGGGAGGCTGAGGCAGGAGAATTGCTTGAGCCCAGGAGGCAGAGGCTGCCATGAGCCAAAATCATGCCACTGCACTCCAGCCTGGGCAACAGAGCAAGATTCTGTCTAAAAAATATAAAATAAAAAATAAAAACCTTGAGATTTACCAAAGATATAAACCTGCTATTCAGTTGGGTGGTTTGCATATTGGTCTTTTGAAATTCTGAGTCTTTCTGTCGTTGCCAGGGCACAAGAGAGAGAGAGCATGACAGGAGGACGAACCCTGGACACCACACCACAGGAATAGGAAGAATGCCTAGGGCTTCTCAGAGCCTAGAGCCTGTTGCTGAGAGGCCACTTCATAAAGAGGCTACTTCATAAAGCCTAGATCCTGGTGCCGAGAGGCCACTGTTATTAATGACAGTCAAGGGAAAAGCTGTGGTTTGAGTCCTGGATATCATTTCCTATCAGAGAATAAGAGCAAGGAGAGGGACACACTACATACATAAAAGGACTGAGGCCACCATTCAGAAGTTCAGGCTGAACACCAAATCATAAACCAGTATACATAAATTCAGAAAATTAGTTTGAAAGGTGATATGGTTAGGTGTTGTGTCCTCACCCAAATCTCACCTTGAATTATAATCTCCATAATCCCCACCTGTCAAAGGAGAGACCAAGTGGACGTAATCGAATCATGGTGGTGGCTTCCCACATGGTGTTCTCATGATAGTGAGTGAGTTCTCACAAGATCTGATGGTTTTGCCAAGTGTTCGATAGTTACTTCTGCATCCATTCTCTTTCCTGCTGCCTTGTGAAGAAGGTGCCTTGCTTCTCCTTCACCTTCTACCATGATTGTAAATTTCTTGAGGCTTCCCCAGCCATGCTAAACTGTGAGTCCATTAAACCTCTTTCCTTTATAAATTGCCCAGTCTCGGGTAGTTCTTTCTAGCAGTGTGAAATCAGACTAATACAAAAGGCATGGAAGAAGTGGTGTCAACAAGTATAAAACCAAGTTAGGATTAAAAGTTGAGCCAAAGACAAGCAGGAAGCAGATTTTCATCTCTGACATTGAAAGCTTTTCAGGGAACATCTCTTCAGTAGTCGTAAATAAAAAAAATATAACCATTGACCTGACTGTCAGGACTGTATATCTCCTTCCCCTGCAGGCTTCTAGTGTGAGTGGGCAAAGACTGCTAGGATATGGAACATTCCCTGGGGAGGGCAGGTCTCCTCAAGACTCAGTCTTTGGGTTGACATCTTAATAAGAAGCTGAACAAGCATGGTCTAAGTACTCTGCCTTGAGACTTAACTTTAATTAACCCAGAGATTCACATTCTAGCATTGAGATAACAGTAGTTTGCAGATAATTTTGGCTATGTCCATTAGCAATAATAAATTACCGTGACTTTAAAAAAATATTATCTCAAATCCTCACAACAAATAAAGGGAGAAATACTATGATCCTCATTTTAAAGATATTGAAATGGGGTTACACAGAGGTTAATATTATAGCTGTGGAATCACAGACTTGGGTTTATAGCCCCACAGATTACTGCTCTTAAGCCAATAAACATCATAGGGAAGTGTATTCAAGTGTGTTTTATACTTTTTGAAGGGAAAAAAGAAGATGGATAGATGGTTGGGTACATCTGCCATGCAATCTTTGCTAAAATTCTTTCTTCCAGGCTATATGATATGGTAATTTAAGTCTTATTTTATCCCAAGTTTGGGAGTTTACAAAGATTCTCTCTGTTTCCTCTTGGAAAATAAAAAGTTGGCTCATTCTGTAGACTCCCCCACTGGTTTTGTCTGGACTGCAGTGGGTTGGCCTTCTGTCTGGGCAGGAATACAAGTCTGAATCTTAAGCTTTTACAATGGAATGTCAACCTTGTCTCCCCAGTGTCTGGTGTGTAAATCTTATGGCTCTCACTTCAATCAACAATATAGAAATTCTGCACTACAGGTCTGTGTTAGAGGATTTGACTGAACTGAATGGGAGCCAGCATTCATCCAAATCTCCCTTAAGACATCCGATATACAGAGTGCATAGCGGAAAGATCATGAGCCTTAGCACCAAGAAGCTCTAAGTTAGAATCCCAGCTTTGCACCTGCTAGCTGTGTGAACGTGGGGATGTTGTTAAATGATAACAATGGATAATATTTATGGAGTACTTGTTATCTATAGGAGCACAGTGTTAAGCGCATCACATCTACTGTTTCATTTAAACTTTATGAAACCCTATGAGGTGGGAGATATTGTTGTCACCATTTTACCATTGTGAAAAAAATGACGCTTAGAAAGTTTAAATAACTTGGCAAAGGTCACACACCTTCTAAGTGGTAGATCCTGAATATGTCTTGAGCAGAGATGACCAATTGAATCCAGTTGTGCTAAAACAAACAAAAGCCATAACTATGCAAAAGTAGGTTGCTTGGATTTTATTGTTAAAGCTTTTTAAGGAAGGGAAAGACACCAATTGAAATATAAAGTGTTGTGTTAAAAGTGTTGCAGTGTGTTGCAGTGTTGTGTGAAAATGAGTTTGTTATGTATAGAATCAGGGAGCCTGAGAAAGAGATTATTGCATTAAGATGGAACTAGTGAAAAATTCTGGCACTGTGGGTAATGATAATAATCAAGGACTGAATGCCAAGAAACTGCAGTGCTTTTCCTATGCATACTTAGCCATAAACATTTTATTTTACCAAAAAAAAGGTTTTATATAGACCACATAAAATTTCATAGTTAGATTTTTTCACAAACATTTAAAATTAGCTTTATCAAAGTCAATACAATAATTTCAGTATGCATTCAAAGGGCAAGTTCTAAAACTTTGCTACATTGTTTAATAATAACCCAATGATTAATAATAAAAAACAGGTTCCATGACTTATTTGTATTTGACATTGTTTAAAATTGGATTTGAAGGTTTTTATATTGTATGGTTTTGAATTTGCTAAAACCTTCATCATATTGGTTCTCACCAAATAAGATTCATGGATTGTAAACCAATAGCATGAAAGGTGTCTTGGCCTGTTCTGCTTGGTCATAATCCCAGTGCCCACATTCATTTATTTTAGAAGTGAATATAGTATGTTACTCAAACTTTTAATCATTGCAATGGAATGGTTTGACTGATTTCCTGCTTCTAACATTTTCATATTGTATGTCAGGAAAATGTTCAAGATTTCAGTGTATCTCCTGGATTCAGGGGACAAATGTAAATTTATTTTTATACTGAGCCAATTAATTAGGCCTCTTTTGTCTATGGAGAATGACCTGACTTCTACAACTCACATTTTAAAAAATTATTTAAGTTTGAAAACAGTCTAATTTCAATCTGGTCTTATTTCCAAAAAAAAAGATTTAATAATATTTCTTATTTCTCATTATAACTTTTATGAGACCCTGTGGTATAAGAACTACACTATTTCATCTCTTAGTATTTCCATAAGACTAGTGAAGTTTTTGCTAAGTGCCGTATCATATACATATCAGAACAGTGTATTAAAACTAGGAGGAAAAACAGTGGATTAAAACTAGGAAGAAAAAAAAATTAGGCCTCTGCAGCCTTACTCCACAGTGTTGAAACAGCCCTGCCTTTGTTACACAGTTGATTAAGCCCATGGTATAAGGAATTTAAACTTGTATGGAATCATTGAACTACAAAATTTAAGATGTGGAAGAATAGGCTTCCTTCATTCCAGTGACTGACATATTTGCTAACCCTTCTCCTTGTAGCAAGCATAAATTAGTAAGTGCAGAATCTCAGATTCAGTAGGATACATCTTGCATTGGAAGCAAAAATTATGAGATCAAGAATAATTGATATTCTATGTGACCCATTAAAATAGGTCTTATTTAAGGCAATACTGTTTCAAATTGTATCTCTTTTAAGTAGGCTAACCTGAATGTAGGCACCCTTTTTTTGCACTTTACAGCAAAACTAAGCAATTCCCGCAACCATCCCGATCAGAGGACCTTGAACTGAGAGCACATGTTTAATGATGCCCAGACTAGCTATTGATTAAACACTGACAGTGTTCAGAGGAATTGAGAATCAAAAAGTCTCCCCCATGGCCAGCTCTGCCATGCTCACTTCTTAATAGATGGCAAAGGAGGATTCTAAATGAGATCCGCTGCCCTGCGCATCCTCAGAACTCCACAGGCAATGGGATTAATTTCTGCTTTGCAGTTTTTTGGAACTACTATGTCTAAAATGTCCATCCTTCTCCAGAATTTACTACAGATGTCCCTCCTTTTTTATTTTTTGTTCCTCTTCTTTGAAGAAAAAAAGTTTTCATATGAATTTAAGGCATAGAACAATATCCTTTCAAATGTGGAATGAATTAAAGCTCACTGTTAATTACTCTATAAACAAATAAAAGAACAAATCCTGGAGAATAATTCAGGCTGAAATATCATTCTCTAAATCAAATAAACAACAATATAAAAAAGGCTAAAAGAAAATAAAAAGAAGAAAGGTTTCAGACAGGACTAATATTCTCATTGGCATTGCTCCATTGAGTTGGTTACTGCCCAGAGGCACAGATATTTTTAGGATATTCTTTTGTCTGGTAGGAGATTATGACCCAGAACTGTGAAGTAAGGCTGTTTCTACACTTAAAAAAATGTAATTTCCAATGGTGGAACCACCCAGCTGTTTTACCTTCAACAAACATTGATGAAACACCTAGAGGGTGTCAGGCACGTTGCTTGGTACTTTCCCTTTTAAAATTATTTAATCCCTCCAACAATCCATGAAATACTCATTATAATCCTTTTAAAGATGTGAAAACTGAAGCTCAGAGGAATTAAATAAATCCTCTATTATCAAACAATCAGTAAATAGGTGAGAGCAAAGTCACATTGTTAGAAACTGTCAGAACAAGGATTAAAATCCAGATATCTTGATTAATATTATATTGGCATAATTACTGTATAGTACCTTCCTTGGCTTAATAATACACATTTAATGAAAATAATATACGGATTTTTTAAAATCATTGTTTGCTCTTTTACTATTTTATTTCTGATTTTCTAAGGATTACATCCTTAGGGTGAATTTTTTTTTAATTACAAAAAAGGGTAAATAAGGATAGAATAAAGCAATCATAATCCCACCACTCAGGGGCAACCATTGTTAATATTGCACTTATTTTGTTCCAGTGTTTTGTCTACATATTTCTTCATAATTGAAACTATGCTACCTTTTTATATATTCATATATACACAGAACACATATTTTACATTCACACATGCTTCTCAATATACATTAAAACTATTTATTAAACTCACTATAATGGTGGTAAAAACCTTTTGGTATGTATTTATTTATATAGTCATGTATATCATGGTATCTTTTTTATTCTCTTCTAATCAATATAGATATTAATATTAATTTGTGTATATCATTTAGATATTTTGTTTCCTTGGGATGATTTTAACCAAAGGGATTAAAGTTTAAAAGAGTTAAAAGAATGGATCTTAAAAAATGTTGATACCTATTGTCAAAATGTTTTTCCAAATTTTAAGACAATTTATTGATCCATCGTCACTATATAATACTTCCTGTCTTATCCTTACTGGCCTCAAGTTTTTCTTTGTCCCTTTCAGTCTTTACTAATTTGATAAGTAAAATTATGTATATTCTTTTACTTGTTTCAGTAAGTTCCAATTCTAAAAATGTATTCATCATTTGTATATCCTTTTATGAGTTTGCTGCTAAGGTACTTTGCCTAATTTTTTCTTAATTGTGAATTTCATATTTTAGAAAGTTCACATGTAAATTATATATTATATAATATGTGTAACTTTATAAAGCAAGCATAACAATCCTTTGTCATCTTTGCTACAAACATGTCATGGTTTGCTATTTTTTAATTGAGCTCATATTATATTTAAGCCATTTTTTTTAGCATAAAAGCAATATAGGGAGTGAAGTCACCAAGATCGTGGAATAGAAGAAAACATGCTCATGTTCCATGACAAAAGTAAGAATTCTGTACCTATCTATAGTCAAAAGTTTCTCTGCAGGAGTTTTAGGATTCAGATAGGAGTTTCTAAAACCCTGGTAAAGCCCAAGACCAAGGAGGGTCATTTTGAGAGGGCAGACCAGCACCTAGCTGGCTGATCTGCCGGCTTGCTCCCAAGTTCAAGCCCAGAAATGGCCTAGTCCCCCAAGGGGGTTTGCTACAGCCACTTTTGGCCTTGAGTCTGCCACCAAAACCATCTGCCAAGAGGTCTAGAAAGAATCGTACATACTAGTGCCTTGGTGGGAAGGCTTGCTGATACTTGTTTTGGCAGTGAACCTGAAAGTTGCCCTGTGGCTCTGTTCCAACACTCCTTGTCTGAGGTCTCAGCTCAGAGGTCCTTGCACAAGGACCTAGAAGGGGATGCCCATATCTCACAGCCTGGAATTCTGCTGAATCTCTCTGATGGGATCTCCAACCTTTATTGCATAGCAGATCCCAAGGGGACCCAGTTGCAGCACTAGCCCCTTCCAGTGCAGTTAGGGAACTCTCCCATCTGTGCTGAGGCCTGCTAGGAGATACCTGTCTGGGCCAACAAGACAGGCTCTCCAGTGACTGTCCCACAGCAGGTCTCAAGGGGGCCCAGTCTTAGCTCTAGTGCTTCTTGCTGCAGTGGGGGAAAAAATCCCATCTGTACAGCAACCTGCTAAGTGACACACACCCCTCTGAGTCAATGATACCAGGCTCACTAGACACCCCCACAGCAGACTCCAAGGAGGCCACTCTCAGCTCCAGATTCTCTTGTTTCAGTTCAGGAATTATCTCATCTGCACTGAAACCTGCTGGGAGATGTGTGTCTGTCTAAGCCAATGAGATAGGATCTCCAGATTGTGTCCCACATCAGATCCTGAAGCAGCCCAATCTCAGCTGTGGACCCTCTTGCTGAAGATGGGGGACTGTCCTCTCTGTACAGAAACAGGTGGGGAGGCATACACATCTGGGCCATGGAGGCAGTCTCCTGGACTCAGATCCCAGCCATGTCTACACAGCTCCAGTACTCTCCTTGGGTCTTCCCCAGCTCCGCTTAGCCAGAAAGCTCCATCAAAATTGGAGCCCTCATGAGACTTGTGGCAAACTTGGGCATAGCACTTCCTCTAGCGTTGGGACAGGTGCAATGATCACAGCCTCTGGGAACATAACAGTCAGGCCGCTTAGAATTTCTAGAAGGCCTTCTGAAGAAAAACAGACACAAACAAATCCAGATTGCAAAGACTGAAATAAATACCTTATCTTTCAATGTGGAGATATTGCCACAAATTAAGAACATTTAATATGACCTTATCAACTGGACAAAATAAGGCATCAGAGGCCAACCATAAAGTAATGAAGATATGTTAACTCTCAGACAAAGAAGTCCAAATAGCTGTTTCAAGGAAATTCAGTGAACTAAAAAAGAACAAACAAACAAACAAAAAACCAATTTTTGAAAAAAATAACAGAGATATTGAAATAAGTTTAAAAGTCAAACAAATCTTGGAGGTTCAAAATACAATGAATGAAATAAAAAATACAGTGGAGGGCACCAACAGCAGAACTGATCAAACAGGAGAAAGAATCGGTGAGCTCAAAACAGGCTATTTAAGAATACACTATAAAAGGAGAAAAGAGAATGAAAAGGAATGAAAAAAGCTTACAAGATCTATGGGACAAAATCAGAAGATAAAATACTTGGGTTATTGGAGTTAAAGAGGGAACTGAGAAAGATAAAAGGGTAGAAAGTTTATTTGAAGAAATAATAACAGAAAAATTTCCAAACCTGGAGAAAGATATAAATATCCAGGTACAGGAAAGTCAAAAGTCACCAGTCAGATTCAACCTAAATAAACATATGCCAAGAGATATCCTAATCAGACTCTAAAAAATCAAAGACAAAGAGAAGATTCTGAAAGCATCAAGAGAAAAGAAGCAAATAATATAGAAGGGTGATCCAGCATGCCTGGTAGCAGACTTTTCAGCAGAAATCTTACAGGCCAGGAAGGAGTTAGATAAAATATACAGAGTGCTGAAGGAAAAAAATAAAAAATAAATAAACTGTGAATACTGTATTGAGCAAAGCTATCTTTTATAAATATAGAAGATATAAATGCTTTCCCAGACGAACAAAAACTAAGGGAATTTATCACTACCAGAACATTCTTACAAGAAGTGCTAAAGGGAGTTCTTTAAACTGAAAGAAAAGGATGCTAACATGATTGTTACACTAATATTGTAATTATGGTATGTAAACCACTTACATCCTTCATAAGAAGACTAAAAGACAAAACTCTTAAGATAATAGTAACTACAACAATTTTTAAAGAAATGGGCAATACAAAAATGTAAATGGTGACGCCAAAAATTTAAAATATGAGAAGACAAAGAAGTTAAACCGTACAGGGTTTGTTTGTATCTTTTTTGCAATCAATAAGTTAAGTTGGTATCAGTTTTAAATAACTTCTTATAACTACAGAATGTTTTTTCTAATTCTCATAATAGCGTTTTTTTCTAATTCTCATAATAATTACAAAGCAAAAACCTGTAATACATACACTAAAAAAAAAAATTAAAACATATTACCAGAGAAAATCACTTAGCCACAATGGAAAGTAGTAAGAAAGAAAGGAGTTAAAAAAAACAACTATAAAATAAGAAACAAAATGGTAGTAGTAAACCTTTACCAACCCCTAATAACACTGAATGTAGAAGAACTGAATGCTCTAATTAAAAAAATAGAGTGACTGAATTCATTAAAAAACAAGTCTCAACTATACACTGTCTACAAGAAACTCACTTGACCTCTAAAGACACACATAGACTGAAAGTGAAGGGACGGGAAAAAGTATTCCATGTAAATTAAAATCAAAAAAGAGCAAGACTAGCTACATTTATATCAGCTAAAATAAATTTTAACTCAAAAACTAAAAAGAGGCAAAGAATGTCATTATAGAATGAAAAAGGAGTCAATTCAGCAGGAGTACATCACAATATATATACACCCAACACTGGAGCACCCAAATATATACAGCAATAATAGATCTAATGGGGAGAGAAAGACTGCAACACAATAATAGTAGGGGACTTCAACACTTGACTTTCATCAATGTACAGATCACCCAGGCAGAATACCATCAAGAAACATTGAAGTTAAATTATACTCTAAACCAAATGAACCCAAAAGACATTTACAAAACATTTTATCCAACTATTGCAGAATACATTCTTCTTATTAGCACCTGAATCATTCTCCAAGATAGAACATATGTTAGGCCACAAAACAAGTCTCCACACAAAATCATATCAAACATTTTTATAGACACATCCAAAACTAGAAATCAATAACAAGAGGAAATTTGGAAATTGTAAAAGTATATAAAAATTAGCACCTTCCTGAATGATCAATGATTCAATGGAGAAAATAAAAAGAAAATTTAAAAATTTCTTGAAACAAATGAAAATGGAAACACAATATATCAGAGCCCATGGGATCCAGCAAAAGCAGTACTATGAGAAAAGTTTATAGCAATAAATGCCTATACTGAAAAATATAAAGATTTCACATAAACAACCTACCTACACCTCAGAAGCCTAGAAAAGTAATGATAAACCAAACCCAAAATTAGTAGAAGAAAAGAAATAATAAAGATAAAAGCAGATATAAAAAATTGAGAATAGAAAACAATATAAAATCTCTATGAAACTAAGTTCATTTTTATGAAAAGATCAAACAAAACTGACAAAATTTTAGCTATCCTAATTTTAAAAAGAGAAGATATCAATAATTAAATCAGAAACAAAAAAGGAGATATATCAACTGATACCACAGAAATACAAAGAATTATTAAAAACTGTTATGAACAAATACATGCCAACAAATTAGAAAACTTAAATGAAAAGGATACATTTCTGGACACTTATAATCTACTAAGATTGAACCATGAAGAAATAGAAAACCTGAACAGACCAACAGTGGCTAACAATATCAAAACAGTAGTAAAAAGTCTCCCCTCAACGAAAAGCCCAGGACCAAATGGATTCACTGCTAAAGTCTAAAATCATTTAAATAAAACTAACACCAATTTGATAAAGGCCATATATGATTAATTCACCACTCAAACTATTTTACAAAATTGAAGAGGAGGGAAGACTTCCAAACTTACTCTATAAGACCAGCATTCCCCTGATAACTAAAAACAGACAAGGTCGCAACAACAACAACAAAATTAATGGGCAATATCCTTGATAAACATAGATTCCCAACAAAATACCAGCAAACCAAACTCAACAACACACTAAAAAGATCGTTACTGTGATCAAGTGAGATTCATCCCAGGGATGCATGGATGGTTCAACGTACAAAAATCAATAAATGCAATACATCACATCAACAAAATCAAAGATAAAACCATATTATCATTTCACTAGATGCTGCAAAAGCATTTGATAAAATTCAACATCCTTCATGATAAAAGTTAACAAATTGGGTACAAAAAGCAAAAAGAAAATATTGCAGCACAGTAAAGGCCATATATGACAAAGCCACTGCCAATGTTATACTGAATGGGAAAAATTGAAAACCTTTCACTAAGTTCTGCAACAAATAAGAATACCCACTTTCACCACTTTTATTTAACATAGTACTGGAACTCCTAGCCAGAGAAATTATGCAATAGAATGAAATAAAAGGCATCCAAATAAGCAAAGAGGAAGTCAAATTATTCTAGTTTGCAGATGACATGATTTTTTATGTAGAAAAATCTAAATACTCCAGCAAAAAAGCTCTTAGGACTGATAAATGAATTCAGGAAATTAACAGGATATAAAATCAATGTACAAAACAACTAGTAGTATTCTACACACTAAGAGCAATCAGTATGTAAAATAAATCAAGAAAGTAATCCCATTTACAATAGCTACAAAAACTAAAATCTCTAAGAATAAATTTAACCAAAGAAATAAAAGATCTCTACAAGGAAAACTATAAAACACTGATGAAATAAATTGAAGAAGACACAAAAAAATTGGAAAGACATCCCATGTTCATGGCTTGAAATAATTAGTATTGTTAAAATCTCTGTACTACCCAAAGTGATCTAGAGATTTAATTCAGTCTCTATCAAAATTCCCCTGACATTCTTCACAGAAATAAGAAAAATAATCATAAAATTCACAAGTAACCAGAAAAGACCCTGAATAGCTAAAGCAATTCTGAGAAAAACAGAGCAAAACCAAAAGCTGGAGGCAGCACATTACCTGATTTTAAAGTATACTACAAAGCTATAATAGCCAAAACAGCATGGTACTATCATAAAAACAGACATACAGAACAATGGAACAGAATAGAGAACTCAGAAATAAATCCACACTTAGAGTCAACTGATTTGCAAGAAAGGTGCATTTGGGAAAGGAGAGCCTGTTTAATAAACGGTGCTGGGAAACTGGATATCCATATGCAGAAAAATGAAACTAGATCCTCATCTTTTGCCATTTACAAAAATCAACCCCAAATGGATTAAGGACTTAAATCTAAGACCTGAAACTTGATACTACTAGAAGAAAACATTGGGGTAATGCTACAGGTCATTGGCCAGGGCAAAGATTTTCGGGGACAGACCTCAAAAACACAGACAACACAAACCAAAATTCACAAATTGGATTACATCAAACTAAAAACCATCTGCAGAGCAAAGGAAGCAATGAACATAGGAAAGCAACAACCTACTGAATGGGGAAAAATTGCAAACTACCCAAAAATAGATTAATAATCAGAATATATAATGTATTAAAACAACTCAATAGCAAACACCAAATAATATGATTAAAATATGGTCAAAAGACTTGAATAGACATTTCTCAAAAGACATACAAATGGCCAACAAATTTATGAGGAAATGCTAAACATTAAGAAAAGGAGATATCATCTCACCCCAGTTAGAAAAGCTATTATCAAAAAGACAACAACAACAAAAATATCAGATGCTGGCAAGGATATGGAGAAGGGGAACATTTATACAGTGTTGTTGGCAATATAAAGAAGTATAGCCATCATGGAAAACACTAGGGAGGTTCCTCAAGAAATGAGAAATAGAACTACTGTATGATCCAGTAATTCCACTACTGAGTACTTCCAAAAAAAGGAAATTGGTATATTGAAGAGATATTTGTATTCTCATGTTTACTGCAGCACTATTCACAATAGTCAAGATATAGAATCAGCCTCAGTGCCACTCGATGAATAAATAGATAAAAAATGTGGTATGCATAGACAATGGAATATCATTCAGCCACAAAAAAGAATAGAATCCTGTCATTTGCAGCAGCATGGAAGGAACTTATTTCATTCTGTTAAGTGAAATAAGCCAGGCATAGAGAGACATATATTGCATTCTCTCACTCATTTCTGGAAGCTAAAGAAAAGTGGATCTCATGAAAGTAGAGACTAAAATGGTGGTTACCAGAAGCTGGGAGGGGAAAGGTGTTGGACAGATGAAGACAAGTTGGTTAAAATTGGATACAAATATACAGTCAGATAGAAGGAATAAGTTCTCATATTTAATAGTACAACTGGGAAATTATAGTTAATGATAATTTATTGTAAATTAAAATAGAAGGGAATAACTGTAATGTTCCTAACACAAAGAAAAGATAAATGTTTGAGGTGAATGATATCTCAGTTACCCTGGTTTGATCATTATACATTGTATACATGTATCAAAATATTGCATGTGTCCCTAAAATATGTACTACTATTATATATCAGTAAAAAATTAAAACACAATATGTATGTATGTGTGTTTATATGTGTACATGTGTTTGTGTATGTTTATATATATGTATGACAGTTTAGAATATATAAATTAAAAAAAATTAAACAGGGGAAAAATCATCAACACCACCACTCAGAGTTAACCATTATTTTTTCATTATACTAGGTGGCAATTAAGGTACTTGGGCCTGGATAGATCTATGGGCCAGAACTACAAACAAATCTAATAAAGATACCATGTGCTTCCAGCACTTTTGCTGTCAATCAAAAGAAAACATTGAGACAAAACAAGAATCAACAGTTCATTTGGGTAAAGAACAATTCATGAATTGGGAAGCACCAAATTGAAATGAGATTATGGTCTCCACTCTAGTGGCTTAAGCAGCAAGCTTTTATAGGCTGACCACAGAAGCAAAGCAAAGAAGTTGGTTGGTTTATTAGCTACAGCGAGGTGTTTACCTGATTTGGCTATGGTTCAATGGGAGGTCACAGTTAACATATCAGCTAGTTGATTGTTGCGGTAAGCTGAGGCTTGGTTCAGCTTTTTCTTTGATCAGTTACAAGAAATGTCTCCAAGTTTACTTATGATTTGCTTACATAAGAACTCTGGGTACAGAGACAACCTCAAGCTAATGGTCTCTTTCTTATTTGCTTTACTACTATCTGTCTATCATCACCGTATCACTATAGGATTGTAAGAGCTTTCGAACTAGGGCTGCATTTCCTCCCTTCTCAGAAGATGACATTGTACCTCAGTCTTCTAGATTGTAATGAAATGTAAAGCAGGTGACTCCAAGGAAAAGAGATGCATCAAAATATTCCACTTCTCTCTATTCTCTAATCCTAAGAATGCCACATTTCACAGTCCCTGACATAAACATTACCTGACAGTGGGATTTTTCTCAGGGTCCCAGAGCTGGTATAGAAGTTCTTTGGCAGCTGGGCTGGTAAACACAGAAGTTTTCTAGCAAGGACGTCCAAAGAACTGTTCAAATAAAGATAAAATTCTGACTTTTTATCTGGTTTTATTCAGGGCAAACAAATTAAGGACCCATGGTGACATCAACTTAATGTATTTTTAAACTTTGGGACATTTGTAAATAATAATTTCCCTGATATTATGTAGAAATGCATACATTTTTTAAAGAGTCCTAAAAGTATCAATCTCAAAGAGAAAATTCTGAAAATAATACTTAGACCAGAATGATTATCAATTTTCAAAAAGGACCACTCAGATTATACAGAATTCCCTATGTTTACTGTACATCTAACAATTTCTTTTTACATGTACAAGCTTCTTAAATTTCTTAAGCATTTTCTCAAGCAATACACATAAGCCTTGAGGAGACAGTGTCCTCAGTCTGTTAATCTCATTTGCTTCCCACAAGGAAGAAAAATGTCAGAGTTGAAGCGTTTTGGATGTGAGTTAACATATCCTTTTTCTTTTCCAACAGAAACGAAATCAGACTTCACAGGATTTTTAGAAACTCTTTTTAAAATTTAATACATTAGTCCCTCTGTATCCTCAGGGGATTGGTTCTAGGATCCAATACCTAGATTATGGACAGATAATCCATAGATATTGATATCCCTAGATTATGGATCCTGGAGTCCCTTATATAAAATGATGCCGTATTTGCATATAACCTATGCAATCCTCCCGTGTACTTTAAATCACCTCCAGATTACTTATAATATGATGTAAATGCTATGTAAATAGTTGTTCTACTGTATTGCTCAGGGAATAATGGCAAGAACAAAGGTCTGTACATGTTCAGTACAAATATAATCATCCATTTAAAAAATGTTTTTTCCATTGGATGCAGAACCCAAGGATATAGAAAACTGGCTATATATGTTCTCTTCCTGCCATTATATATTTTATAAAATCATTTTTAATGACATATTCTACTTTATATCATTTTACTGATGATTGACCTGTTTGTGGACTGTTTTGTCTGTTTTCTCTCAGTCTTTTGTATAATGAACAGTCACTTATAAGCACATTTAGAGCCAAATCTTTGAATATCTTCAGGGTTATTTCCATAGAATCAATCAGCACACATAGGATTGTGTTTATTGTGATTATTTACATCAGAAATAATCCTGTTACAAATTGTCCTCCAGAAAGTATGTATTTAAATTTTCATCATCAATATGTTAGAAAAATCTATTTTTTTTCATAGAGACATGATCTATGTTGCCTTTTTTATGTTCTTCACGCAAAACCTATACATTGCGTATTATACTTGTTCCTCAACTTGAGACGGGACTATGTCTGGATAAACCCATTGTAAATTGAAAATACTGTAAGTTGAAGATATATTTTCACAGTCCCTGTACATTTTTGACTATTTCTGTATGTTTTCAACTTATGGTGGGTTTATCCAGATGTAGTCCCATCATAAGTCAAGGAGTGTGCTGAAGGTGTATCACCTTGTCAAGCCAAAAGATTGTAAATCAAACCATGTAAGTCAGGGACTTCCTGTCTTTTATTTTATCATTTTCCCCAATACGATAGGTGTCATAGGTTGGATTTCCTAGAAAACAGACTCTAAAATTTTTGTACAAGAGGTTTACTGGGAATAACACAAGTGAGGGGTTAGAGAAGCAGGACAAGGCAGGGGGAGAAATAAAACTGCAGCACAATTTCAACAAGGGCTCTGTTGATCTTTATAAAAACTCGAGAGCTGGGATGTTCCTTCAAAATCATCCTGCCTTGAATAAAAGGGGGTAGGACTTGATATGCTTGTAACACCCTGCAAGCTGCCCTAGGATGGGTGTGACCTTGGATGAGGAGGCTGTTTTCAGCTGAAGGCAACTCTTGGAGAAACATTTAGCCATAAGCTGCGTGCTGCCAACAGGACCAGCACTTGAGGAATGAATGCTCTTCTGAAAAGAGAAATTGAGTGGTGTGCTAGCGCCTCTTCTCCAAGAGATCCACTTACTTTGTATAATAATTAGTGGGAACAGCACCTCTCGGATTCTGGTTGGTTTAGTTTTCAGGAAAATTTACAAGAGGAAGGTTAGTGAAGTGAACTACATACAATCCCAGCCAGCGCATCTGGTCTTGATGCTGCAACTGACACCAAACATATCTCATTACAAGTCTGTATTTCTCTTACCCTACTTCTATTACTGACTGTTCAGATAGGGCTCACTGGGAAACAGACTGAGATGTGCATACAGGATGTTTACTGAAGCATGTGTGCTTTTGCGAACAACACATGTGAGGGGGCAGGGAAGCAGAATTGGGCAGAGAGAGGAGCTGAATTGAAATGCAGTTGCAACAGACCTCATTCAATTTTGTGAGAACTTCAGAGCTGCAACAGCTTTTCAGATTGACCCCACCATGGCACAATGTAGCTGGACTATATACTCTTGCACTGGATCAGTCATTAGACACAGGCTCTTCTAATGTAAGGGATATTGTGGCTCTCTTTAGTTAATGGCATTTCCTAGAGAGAGAAACTAAGCTGAAATCTGTCAGGTGTCATACCATAGCAGCTGAGGGAATGAGCATTTCAGTCCTGAAATGGAATCTGAGCAACACATCATGATATCTATTACAGTAGTTAAAAATGGCATCTCGGCCTAGCGCAGTGGCTCACACCTGTAATCCTAGCACTTTGGGGGCTGAGGCAGGAGGATCATGAGGTCGAGAGATCAAAACCATCCTGGACAACATGGTGAAACCCCTTCTCTACTAAAAATACAAAAATCGGCTGGCATGGTGGCGTGTGCCTGTAATCCCAGCCACTCAGGAGGCTGAGACAGGAGAATCGCTTGAACCTGGGGGGTGGAGGTTGTAGTGAGCTGAGATCACGCCACTGCACTCCAGCCTGGCAACAGAGCAAACTCTGTCTCAAAAAAAAAAAAAAAAAATGGCATCTCATTATTACCATATATTATTTGATATGTCATTGAACCACATGACTTCTTTTTGAATTCCCTGAATATTTCTTTCATTTTTCTGTGTTAATAATGTTTTCTTATCATGTATGTTGAAGATATTTGCTCTGTTTTTCAATTGTCATTCTTTCTTTTATTTTTTAATTTTTATGGGTACCTAGTAGGTGCATATACTTATGGGGTACATGAGATATTTTGATACAGGCTTGCAGTGTATAACAGTCACATCATGGTCAGTGGGGTATCTTCGTTTCGTTGATACATCCATGTTTATATTTTGTATGGTATATTTCCTTCCCTTTTGCATTTCTTTCTACCATTTGAGCTTTAAGAATTCTTTATCCTGATTATAAGTAAATACAGATTATTTTATTTAGTAATTCGATAGTGTTACTTTATTTAAATATTTTCTATTATTTGGAATTTATTTTAGTTCATGGTATAAGGCAAGAATGTAAATTATGTGTGTGTGTATGTTTTCTGGATAGTTCAACAATTATCTCAGCACCATTCTTGAATGATCCATCTCATCTTTAGTGATTTTATGCTTCCAATATAATATATTCAGTTCTTTATATGCCAGATTTTGTCTATGCAATAGTCTATTTATCAATTAACCTGTTTATACATATGTCAAAAACACATTACCTGAATTATTATAGTTTTATAGTATTGCTTACTGTCCAGTTGAACTAAGTAAGCCACAGTGTGATCAGCTTATAGATACAGGAGTATGTCATTATTATCTTAGATGCCTAAATTTTCATGCCTTTTTCGCTTATGTGGAAACATCCATTTTTCTTCACTTCTGACCATCTGTTCTATGCATTTTGCCTTTTAACAAATGTTTAAATGATGTTTGAAAGTGTCATATTCTTGTCTTCTTTCTTCTCCTCACTACCTTGTTCCCTTGCAGATTGGCAACTTTTTAAAACAACCATTGAGCTGCATGTTTCTTTTTAAATTCCTTATCTCTTCTATCCCAGGCCTGAGCACATGGTACAACATAAACAAATATTTTTGAATGTTGAATGAATAAGATTATAATTTCATTTCTGTGTTATCTCTTTGGTTCTTGATTTCTCTACATTAAAAGTCATATCTAGAATACCTCACAAAGTGGTAGGAAAGTATGAAAAAAATACATTGAAATACACTGAAATAGCATATGGATATGTACTTTTCATTCTTTTTTTTTCTAAAGAGAGGTCATTGATGAGACTTTCAATATTTAGGCTAGATTGACTTTCAGGGACATTATAGAGCCTAACTTTGAAGAGCTCAAAATATGATTGAAAATTTTGGAGCTCATAGTGAAAAATCTAGATAATCACTGCTTTTGTTAATTAGCTTTTTATTCTTTCCACACAGGTACTAAGTGAGGAACCAGCTATATAATTTATAGGGACAAGTACAAAAATGAAATGGTTGGGTCCCTTGTTCAAAATTTATTAAGAATTTCAAGATGGTGATAGCAAAGCATTTAACCAAGTGTGAGTCCTTTTGCAACTGCATAGTTTGAGCACCCGCAAACCTGGCCCATGACTAAATACAACCCATATACACTATGACAGGTATTAGCGCTGTAGTGGGGAGGAAACAAATATGGTTACTTCCCTTGTGGAACTCACAGATTCAATGTAGACAAAAGCAGAACAGTGACAATTTATTTCCTTAATAGTGCCTTACTAGCTTCACTAATTCAAAATTGGTTTTAGAAATTTCACTACTTTGTACTTATTCCCAATCGCCAACGTAGTTTTTGAACTGCCATGTCTTTGGATAATCATATAGCAGAATTTATTAAATGACAACTGTTTGCAGGAAACTATGAACTCGGTGAAAATAAAATTAGAAACTTATTTTTATCATGAATATTATTTCTAATAAAGCAGTATAAAAGCCCTTTGTGAAGGGTGTTTTCATATCTGTAGTGGGCATATATGTGCTACAATGTGTAGCAGCAGCTGGAAATTTTTTCTGTCATTACTGAGTTTTGAAAAGATATTTTTCTCAAAATGTAAGAAACACTGTCACTAAGGAAGAAATGCATCTTATTAGAATGAGAATGTTGTAGATAATGATTATATGGTTTGTCCTGAGATTGAGATTACTATGTATGTGATGGTTCTCTTTTTGGGAGGGAGATAATGTCAAAATATATTAGCCAAAGACCTTCAGAAGTAGGTGGGAAATAGGCAGAAATGTATACCCATTAGCAATTGATTCCTCAGCATGCTAGTCAAGCCCATTTTTTGACATCTGTTTTATTTTGGTTCTTGCCTCTTCCAGCATTCAAGCTGTCAGCTCTTGCTCTGTTAACAATGGGGGCTATGAGCTGAAGTATATTCAGATCACTCATGAACACTACAGGCACTGGTTCCTTCCATACCACCAGCTGACATGAGATGGCAAACACTGAGAAAGGAAGGCACAGTAAGCTCATATTACCTGCTGCAAAGGAACAACATGTTGAGAGCAATAAAACTTTTGCCAACACTGTGTACCATTTTGTAAGATTGTGGGTTTGAAAGAATATTTTTTCCCCTGCAGTCTACTTCATGGATTGCTTTTGATTAACAGCTCTTTCCTTTTTTTCTCTGAATCCATTGGTGGCTGTAAGTTTGTATCCATTCTCTTTGGAGGGAGGACACCCAACTATAGCAATATGATTCATGGTGGTGAACTATGGCAGAATTCAAGAATTTAAAGTGATTTTAAGTATCTCACTGAGTTTATAAAAAATCCCAAACAAAGATTTCTGGAAAATGCGTAAATGCACAAACTAAGCAGGATGGGTGAGGGCTTTTATTCTTCACTATCAAAATGATTCTTCAGCATCAGTATGTATTTTGATACTGAAGACTCATTAGAAACACTGTATATATTCATGGTAGTGTTTTGGATTAAAAATATGTCTTCTCTCTTTTATTTTTATTTAATTAATTAAAATTCTCTGAAAAGACTTGGAAGGCTAAATTCATATCCCCAGTAGAGGCGGCAAGGTGGGGAAGCTTTAGACCTCCTCCCATAATCTTCGTTTGCTCCCCAGTGGCATCCACCAAATGATAAATACATTTATTAGTATGGAAAATAAATTTTTCTCAGTCCTAAGTAAAATGTAATTAAAATAGTTTTTTAAAATGTTGATATCTTTATTAATCTGTAGCATACATTCAAAATATAAACTGTGCTTGCTAGAAAAATGCATCTTGGATCACGAGGTCAGAGATCGAGACCATCCTGGCTAACATGGTGAAACCCCATCTCTACTAAAAAATACAAAAAATTAGCCGGGTGTGGTGGCACACGCCTGTAGTCCCAGCTACTCGGGAGGCTGAGGCAGGAGAATGGCGTGAACTCAGGAGGCGGAGCTTGCAGTAAGCCGAGATCGCGCCACTGCACTCCAGCCTGGGCGACAGAGTGAGACTCTGTCTCAAAAAAAAAAAAGAAAAAGAAAAAGAAAAATGCATCTGCAAGACTGCACTTCTTTCTGAACAGATTTTTTTTAAGATCCTTCTGTATAGAATTTCTGGGACTACTGCTGCTCATTCTTCAGATATTTACAACTTTCTATCTCAAATTACTTCTATTCTCCCAATCAGTGTGTCTCCACCCTGGCAACAAAGCTCTCCTTTATAAATCCCCATTGGGACTGTAGTTCAGTATCACTGCTCCCCCTTTTCATGCCTTGTTACTATCAAAGATATGGTCTACATACCCTAGAGTTTCCTTGACTAGGCATCATTCTTATGCCACTTGTAGTTATACAAAAGAAGGATAGTTTTCATGAAGTGACGTTTCATTCCACCAGGATTGTAAAAGTATCTTCTTATTCTCAGACCCACCAGTTTAACAGGCTCAAATATACCTGCTTATTGTTCTTATTTACCTCTTGTTTTTTATGCATGAGATTGAAATTTGTTTATATATTTCTTGACCATATGAACACTTTCTGTATTTTATTGCCCCTTTATGTCATTTTGCCATTTTTTATGGACGTGCTTTTTGTTAATATACAGAAGCTTGTTATATATTCTAAACATTAATGAACCCCTTAAATGTTAATATATTCAAATATTTTCCCCAATTTAATATTAGATTTTTTTACATAGTTGATGGAAGTTTTTCTTGCCATTCTAAAGTTTTTTTCTTTTGTGTAATGTCTTTTCCTTCACATTTTTCTCCAAATAGAATTTTTACTTTAAAATACTTCATATTCACCAAAATATGAATTTTAAAATTAATTAAAATGCAGAAATCTTTAATCATAAATTTCAAATATTTAAAACTTCTACTATGTAAAGATGAAACTATAAAGTTTTATTTCAATGTTTTATGTATATATAGTGTTCCATTGTATAGATTGCCATCATTTATTTGACCAATATCAGTTAATGAAAACTTAAATCAATGTCCTAGTACATATTCCTCAAATAATGGTCAGATATTTCCTTAGAATAAATTTCTAAATGTGGAATTATTGAGTAGAAAACATGTAATTTCTCAGGCTTCTGATATTATTTACTAGTCTGTCCTCAGGAAAAGATGACCCATTTATAGTTCCACAGTCATGTAAGAGGGCTAGATTTTTCATATCTACCAGCACAGAGTACTTTTATTCTTATTTATTTTGCAAATATATATAATAATTTATAAAAATTGTAATTTATAAATGCAAAGGTATGATGGGGAGAGTAGAAAAACCAAAGTTTAGGAAGCCTTGGAAGTCAGTTTGAGTTTGGACTGGATGTGGAAGAAAAAATGTTAGAGAAGCTTATCTCTGTTGTCAGGTTGGAAGTGAAACAGTAAAGTTGGCATTTTATGAAAATTGATTGATGATTAAGGAATCTGTTGCAATGTTTCAGTTATGATTAAATAAGTTTCAGCAAAGATGTAACAGGATTAATTATAACTAAGTTTAGGAAGAAACTAGAAGATATAGTGAGAGATTAAAAGCAAAGATGAGAGATTTTAAGGGTTTCCCATTTGGGAGTGCGGAATGACAAAAGTATCATTGTGATGACTAGGAAGTTGATAAAGAGAAGTTTTTTGGACTGATTAGTTAAGATGATAGTGGTGAGGGAAGTGAAGGTAGGAGCCAAGTGGAGGGCCCATTACAAGTTAAATAATGGACAGGTGTGTAAGGCTCAAGAATATTTTCATGTTGTCCCCAGGAAATCATCAAGAAATATCAGGCTTCCACTTCTGGCATTAGAAAAACCAAGGTATAAGATAAATGAGCTAATGAGCTGAATATTGAAAGAATTAGAATGTCAGATCATGGTAACTGGTTGAGAGTTGGAGAGTAGAAAGGAGAACAGCTGGACAACCTTTGTTGAGAGACCCAGAATCATAGAATTTTAAAGATTGTCTAGTTCAGTTATCAAATTAAGTGTTCTCTGGAAGTTAATTGGATTTAACAGGCCAAAGAGGTTAAAGAAGGTACATTAGGGAAGACAGTCTGTGTATATGTGTGTGTGGGTACTCCTGTATGTGTGTGTGCATGTGTGTGTGTGTGCATGCGTGCCCACACACACATGCACACACGTCTGGGGAGGGGAGGGTATAGATGTTGTCTTAGTCACTTCAGGCTACTCTAACAAAATACTATGGAATGAGTAGTTTAAACAACATACATTTATTTCTTACAATTCTGGAGGCTAAATAGTTAAGGTTAAGTCGCTGGCAGATAGGGTTCCTGGTAAGAAGACTTCTCTTACCTTGCAGACAGCCACCTTCTCCCTGTGTCCTCACATGGTGGAAGGAGAGAGTGCTGTCATTTCTTCCTCTTCTTATAAGGACATTAATCTCATCATGGGGGCCCAACCTCATGATCACTTTTTTTTTTTTGAGACGGAGTCTCGCTCTGTTGCCCAGGCTGGAATGCAGTGGCGCGATCTCGGCTCACTGCAAGCTCCGCCTCCAGGGTTCACGCCATTCTCCTGCCTCAGCCTCCTGAGTAGCTGGGACTACAGGCGCCTGCAACCACACCCGGCTAATTTTTTGTATTTTTAGTAGAGAAAGGTTTCACCATGTTAGCCAGGACGGTCTCAATCTCCTGACCTCGTGATCTGCCCACCTCGGCCTCCCAAAGTGCTGGGATTACAGGCGTGAGCCACCACGCCCAGCCCCAACCTCATGATCTTGAGAGGTGAAGCCAGCTGGACGTTGGGTCGGGTGGGGACTTGGAGAAATTTTTTGTCTTACAAGAGGATTGTAAAATGCACCAATCAGCGCTCTGTAAAATGCACCAATCAACACTCTGTAAAATGCACCAATCAGCAGGATCTTAAAAGTAGCCAATCGCAGGAAGGATTGAAAAAAGGGCACTCTGATAGGACAAAAATAGAACATGGGCGGGGACAAGTAAGGAAATAAAAGCTGGCCACCCCAGCCATCAGCCTCAATCCGCTCTGGTCCCCTTCCACGCTGTGGAAGCTTTGTTCTTTCGCTCTTCACAACAAACCTTGCTACCGCTCACTCTTTGGGGTTGTGCCATCTTTAAGAGCTGTCACACTTACCGCAAAGGTCCAAGGCTGCATTCTTGAAGTCTGTGAGACCATGAACTCACTGGCTGGAACTAACTCCAGACACAATCTCATCTAAACCTTATTACCTCCCCAAGGCCCCACTTTCAAATACCGTTACATTAAGGGTTAGGGTTTCAACCTGTGAATTTTCAATGGACATGCAGTTCATAACTGAAGTGATCCTAGACCTATAGCAATTTGGCTTAAAGATTCTCCCAGAATTGTGTCCTTCTGCCTTCCACAATGGGAATGAACCTATCCAGACCTTGAAATGACCTCTAAAACAACTAAAGTGAAGATAACCCCAAGGAAGCATCGAAAATTAATAAATTTATTTAGGACTTTACATATTGCACTCAAGGTAAAGGCACTGTATTTTCAAAGCATTAAAAACAATCATTCTCTACTTCAATGGCAATGGCCTTAAAAGTTGAAATTGTACCTTTTGTATTTTCAGTAGAAATGGATTTTTTGGTCCTAATGTCATCAACCTCAAATTCCATTACTTTATATTGAATACACTGAGTTCCCCTCCACACCTCTCCTTCTCCCAGTGGTATTTTTGCTGTCATTAGCATCTCTTGCCTTGGAAACCATTGACATACTGATAGCAGCAACTTCTGCTGAGGTCCTTTTAACTTTGGCACTGATCAATATATGCCATGCAATTTATTTTATTTTCATCTCTTTAGACTTTGTTATAAAAGTAATAAGTATTCACTGAAGGAAATTTGAGGTAAATTAGATAATAAAATAACACAAATGAAACATAATAAGACCACCCATAATCTCATCACACAGAAGTAATAATTGTTAACATATTGGTGTATATTTTTTCAAGTATTTTATTTGTATAAACACTTTTATGGAATAAGATTATACTATATCTTTTGTTTTACAACTTGATTTATTAAAATGTTTTTAAAACATTTTGTGATGTCATTATTTAATTTTCCATTATAATTTTCTATTTTATGATGCTTAAAATGATGGCATTAAAATAATAGCTTAAATTTATTTAGAAATTTTTGTGCTAGTCACCACTGAAAGTACATATATATGCATTGTATCACTGAAATTTCACAGCGACCATAGGAGATTGATACTGTTACTGTCCCTAATTTATAAAAAGGGAAATGGAACACAGTACAGGTTTGATAATTGGCCCAGGGTTTCATGCCGTGGAAGTTACAGACCAGGACTTGAAGCCAGGGACTTTTAACTCTAGAACCCAAGATTTTTCAAGCTGACTGTATAAATATATAGCATGCCACTGTTTTTGCAATTGCACTATAACAATTTTCTAATGTTGGGTACTTAAAATTTATACCTTTTATTGCTTTAAAGAAACAATGAAAATTCTTCCAGTGAAATCTTTGGTTCCATATACACTATTTTCCTAATGACAAATGCCAGTGATTAAAATTGTATGGTCCAACAGTTATGTGCATAATTTATGCATCAATATTTTTTGCAAAAATCTAAAAGCAGCCAAGTCGAGCCAGCATAGACTAGAAACTGGAAGTAATAGAATACTAAATTCAAATTCTTTTATGATTTCCAGCAGATCTCAGCACCGTTGTGTATATTGTGGGAAGTAAGCCTAATAATCCTTTTTTAACCTTAGAGTTATGTAATATTTTGAAAGTCTAAAAGACGATTCTTATGAACTTAGATTTGACAAAATCTTTAAGAAGTAACTTTTAGAAAGTGTTTTAAGGTAAAACCTTCTACCTAGAAATGTGCTTTGAATATATATAATGGACTCTCAGTAGAGGTTTGATGACCCATTAATCCAGATCTGGAAACAATCCTGTGTTTTCTATTTTTGTGATATTTCACCTAAGGAAATGTTCACCTGAATCCTTTGATAATTACAGAAATTATCTGGAAGCAGAATAAATGACATATTGGAGAATTAAGGTCAAATGGTCTTTGGTGACCTACTGTACTTTTGCAAATACATCAACCATTTATATCTACCATTGCCCTAATAGAATTTCCTGGCATGCATGTTTTCAATATTAGTATGTCTGCAAATGCTTTAATACATGGAAATTATTGATGGCAGATATTAAGCTATGGTAACACATTGAAAACAATTTGAACATTTTACAGTTTAACATTTTCCAAGCCAAAAATTAAAAATCTGACATCTATATATGTACCTGAAAATTTGACTTTTCTAGAAAAGTCTAGTTCCTAAGTTGCAAACCAGTACTCCACCATTCCTCCTGCACTATTGAAAGAACAACTCTTGTAAAATAATATCCATATTTAGGAAAGACTAAACAATAAAGACTTATTTCCATTTTTTTTCTCATTTTTGAAATAAACTGTTATCAAATTCTCTCCAGATTATTTCTGTTACAAAACCACCACCCATTATGCCTCCTCCTTAAAAACATTGTGCACAATGCTGGAAATGGGTTTTCCCTAGCCAGCACTCCAACTGGGTACTGAAGGTTGGGGCTGCACACATAGCCAGTTTCAAATAACTGACCCCCTATTGTCCCTGCTGCTATTGTTCTCAACCTCCTTTCTTCCTGTATGAATGCTCCATAATTGTAGGTTGAGTACAAAATTCTAAAATCTGTTTTTTCTCATTGGTAATATTGGATTATTTAAAAAAAAAAAAAAAACTATTATGGACATAGTGGTATGAAGAACTGTGGAATCAGATCTGGTTGGAATCCCAGATTCCCCACTCACTGTCATGGTAAGCAGCTATTTCAACTCATTGATCCTTTATTTCTTTATCTGTGATTTTGGAGATATTAATGATACATATGTCATAAGGTTGTGAATGAAGCTTGAGTAGGACAATGCATGTAAAGAGCTTAGTAAGTTGCTTGACTCAAGATAAATTGCTTGAAACCTAAAGCACAGAGTAGTGTATTTTCTGCTACAGTGTTACAAAGATGTTTCTTGACAAAGTCAGAATTGGAATGCAAACATATCCATAACACCAAATCTGATGTTCAAAATTCATATACCCTATCCAGTACAACCTTCTCAGGATCTCCTTGCTGGCTCTCAATGCTTGCTTACTGAGTTTTAGGAATCAAATTCTGTACAACCTCAAACATTTACTACAGTGTCATTTCTCCTATCTTCCAGGAGCAGAGCTTCATTTCCCCTTTTACATTTGTGTCCATTTTAGTCATCACTGCCATCCCAATTTAATTCTGTCTTCTTATCACTTATCTTCTGAAGCTCTTATCAGCTGGGTACACCACCCTTTATAATCCGTCTTTTAACCATCCTATCTTTATGGGTATCATGAGAGAGCCCAGGATCCTCCTCCATTATAGTGTAGGAGTTAAGAAATGGGCTCTGAAGCCATACTACTTAAGTCTGAAGTTCTCTGTTTCCACAAATCCCACTTTTTAGCTTGGGGACCTTGAATACATTTTCTGCTTTCAGTTTCTTATCTGTGAAATGTAGATTAAAATTATACCTACCTAATTGAGTTGTTGATCAGATTAAATGGATGAATGCATGTTAAGTACTTGCAAATAGCACCTGGAACCTATCAAGCACGATATAAATATTATCTGTTGTTATTATTATTATTATTTGTTAAAGAATTCCAAACATAGCTAAGTTATCACTTCCAAATTTATCCTTTTGTTCCCTGCTACCATCCAGTAAACGGATCTTACCTAAATGATGTATTGAATAAAATGTGAAAAGCCTGAAACTGTACGGGGCACAGGGAAACACTCATAAACTGCTAGCCTCTATAGTAAATAGAGTAGAGAGGAATTAAAATAGATAAACAAATAATGAGCTAGCATTAGAAAGACAGATTTTACAATTTAAGATATTTGAAGTAAAACAACTATGAGTGGCATGAAAATCTAAAGTGTATTCAGGTTTGTGTATAGCAAAACCTGAGTGGAGTTGAGGAAATTTAGAAATGAAATTCTTCTAAAAAAGGAGTTTATGTCCTTTGCAGGGGTATTGATGAAGCTGGAAACCATCATCCTCAGAAAAGTAACACAGAAACAGAAAACCAAACACTGCATGTTCTAACTCATAAGTGGGGTTGAAAAATGAGAACACATGGACACAGGGAGGGGAACATCACACACGGGGGCCTTTCTGGGGATAGGGGGAAAGGAGAGAGAGAGTGTTAGGACAAATACCTAATGCATGCAGGACTTAAAACCTAGATGATAGGTTGATGGGTGCAGCAAACCACCATGGCACATGTATACCTATGTAACAAACCTGCACGTTCAGCACATGTATCCCAGAACTTAAAATAAAAAATAATTAATTTAAAAGAGTTAAAAAAATTAAAAAATACTAAAGTCAGAAAAGATTTACTAGATTCCTACTATGTGCAAGATACTAAGAGAAAAAAGTAAATAAGATATTCCTACTGCCCTCAAAAAGTTTACACTTTTTGATTCTCAGCCCCTCAGCACTTGACCTAATTTGCCCTAGACTTTCTTCCTGAAAGTCCCTTTCTTTGGATTTTGAGACCCTATTCATTCCTAGTTCTGGTTCTGTTTCTAACACTTAATCTTCTTCTATATCTCTTCCTATATGAATACACTTGTTCACCTTTCCACATCGTGTAAACTTTTTGAGGGCAGTAGGAATATCTTATTTGCTTTTTTTCTCTTAGTATCTTGCACATAGTAGGAATCTAGTAAATCTTTTCTGACTTTAGTATTTTTTAATTTTTTTAACTCTTAAATTAATTAATTTATTTTTTATTTTAAGTTCTGGGATACATGTGCTGAACGTGCAGGTTTGTTACATAGGTATACATGTGCCATGGTGGTTTGCTGCACCCATCAACCTATCATCTAGGTTTTAAGTCCTGCATGCATTAGGTATTTGTCCTAACACTCTCTCTCTCCTTTCCCCCTATCCCCAGAAAGGCCCCCGTGTGTGATGTTCCCCTCCCTGTGTCCATGTGTTCTCATTTTTCAACCCCACTTATGAGTTAGAACATGCAGTGTTTGGTTTTCTGTTTCTGTGTTACTTTTCTGAGGATGATGGTTTCCAGCTTCATCAATACCCCTGCAAAGGACATAAACTCCTTTTTTAGAAGAATTTCGTTTCTAAATTTCCTCAACTCCACTCAGGTTTTGCTATACACAAACCTGAATACACTTTAGATTTTCATGCCACTCATAGTTGTTTTACTTCAAATATCTTAAATTGTAAAATCTGTCTTTCTAATGCTAGCTCATTATTTATCTATTTTAATTCCTCTCTACTCTATTTACTATACTTACACTAATAATGCCTAACATTTATTGAGTGCCTACAATATTCCAGACAATGTATTCGTTGTTTTACCTGCATTATTTCACTTAATATTTACATAATCCCATGAAATATTGTTATTATGTTTATTTTACAGATAAAGGACTTAAGGCCCTAGGAAGTCAAGTTATTGTCCCAAGGTCTCAGAGCTACTGGCTTTGCCAGAATCAGGCTACAAATTCATGTTTCCTTCATCTTTTCTCTATGCCATTTTGAAAGTTTACCATATTAAATGTTAACATAAATATTCTAGATGATAATTTTTTTGTTGTTTTTGTTGTTGAGATGGAGTCTTGCTCTGTCGCCCAGGCTGGAGGGCAGTGGCACAATCTCAGCTCACTGCAAGTTCCACCTCCTGGGTTCATGCCATTCTCCTGCCTCAGCCTCCCTAGTAGCTGGGATTACAGGCACCCACCACCACGCCCAGCTAATTTTTTTTTCTTTTTTTTTGTATTTTTAGTAGAGACAGGGTTTCACCATGTTAGCCAAGATGGTCTCAATCTACTGACCTCATGATCCGCCTGCCTCGGCCTCCCAAAGTGCTGGGATTACAGGCATGAGCCACAGCGCCCAGCCTCTAGATGGTAATTACTATAGCAATTCTGAGGAATATAATTTTTAATAATATGTCTTAACTTTTCTTTGAAAGTCTAGTTTCTATCCATTGGTTCTCTAACTGCATTTATTAATGCTTCTCAAAGCACATAGTCTCCTTGTACCTCAGAGAATGTGGCATTTGATAACCAGATTTCTTGTCTGAGCTGGCTGCAATGGTGTTGGAAATTGGCTCTGCAGCTGGGCTGGACTGCAGTTAGGAAACATGATTGTAGATGGTGAACTGTCACTGCTGGGATGTGAACCAGACATGAATGCTAAGCAATAGTGTCCACAGTTTGCAACCCAGGAACTGCCAAATTGACAGCTAGACTAAACTGTAGCAGCATAGGAAAATGTGGCTAGTTTCTCCAGTCAGTCAATACAAAGTCTTATATTGTACTATAATGAATACAATCTTACTGTCCCAAAAACTGAGATGCTGTCAATTATGAATCTCAGTTAGATTCTTAGCAAGTATTTCATGTGTGAACACCCGTATAAGCCTCATAATGGCCCTAACTGTAGTTGGTTTGGATTAGCTTTTACAGTGAACATGCAGTTCATTAAGCTTACAGAAACTCCAACAGCAGCTGCACATCTCTCCATGAACTATATAGGTTTTTTGCATTTTATCTAGGACTAGATGAAAGGGATCCATAAGGCTGTGCTAGAAATAAGTCTTGATTCTCTGAGGGACTTGAATAGATATAGAGTGTGTATGAAATGAATAATATCAGTAATGAGCAAAACTTGAAAGGAAAATCTAAAGGTTTGGGGGGTTCTGTTTCCTTTTAAGGAAGTTGTGGCAAATTATTGTTTTATAATAATTTTGCTTTGAGAATTTCTTCAGGCTTGGGATATTCATTTGTTATTTCACTAGACAGAACATCTGCTTACCTTCCTCACCATTCTCTCACATATTTCTTTGTCATTCATTTCCTTCATGCCAGGGACTTCTGCAAGTTCCCATTATGTTCCAAGCACTGGGGCTGGAAATGAGTTCTTTGATACAAAAAAACAAACGTCTCTGCCCTCAAGAAGCTCATGGTCTAGTGGGGAAGACAATTGCATAAAAAGAGAATATAGCAACACAGTGGTAAAGATGTGTATATTATATTAAAGGAACCCCAGTGGGTAGCATCTATGCCACCTGAAAGGGGGTTCAGAAAAGGCTTTTAATAGAAGACACTTGAGTTGAACTTTAAGAGAAGTAGGAATCAGTCCAAAGAAGAAAAATGCCAATGTCTAGACATCCCCAATATATAGGATTACCACACAGATAGAGATCCCATTATAATTCATATATCAACAATTAAAGAAGCTATTGGGATTTTAGAGTAGATATTTTTATTTGCAATATATCCAAATATTTTTTCTTAGGACTAGAACATTTTCTCTGTCTGGTAAAATGCCACTGTATCTTTAGATATGAACATGTGCATTGTTTAAGTACATGAAGACTTCGTTAAACATAGACACCTCAACTTTATTAGTAGAATCACTGGCTTTAGAGCATCTTTGAAGATCAAAAAGTGAGAATCTAGAGAGGTGAAATCAAGAGACTCTGACCAGTGACACACCTTCTCAGATGCTCTGGGGCTTATGGAGGTATGCATGGAAGTTACCAGCATATGTTTTAAAGAAAGTGATTTGAATAAAGCATTACATGAGTGTGTTGGGAGGTAGTCATGCTGAGGTCAGAATTAGCCAGATTCTTTCCATGTCATCTGCAATCCTTTCATCTAACTTCCAAAAGAGTGGTTGCTGGAAAACCTAAAGAAATGTTTAATTTTAATTTTTTTAATTTTTTTTTATTTAGAGACAAGGTCTCTCACTGTCCCCCAGCCTGGAGTGCAGGGGGCAATCATCACTCACTGCAGCCTGGCCCTCCTAGGCTCAAACAATCCTCCTACCTCAGCCTCGAGTAGCTGGACTACAAGTGCATGCCACCATGCCCAGCTAGTTTTTTAAAAACTTTGTAAAAATGGGGTCTCACTATATTGCCCAAGCTGGTCTCACACTACTGGCCTCAACTGCTTCTCCTGCCTTGGCCTCCCAAACTGCTGGAATTACAGGCATGAGACACTGTGCCCAGCGCTAAGGAAAAATGTAATATGGCATCTTTTAGGAAAAAAGTATTCTGGACTTAAGCTTGAAATTTGTGCTGCTGATTTTAATAAAATAACATTTAGCTGCCTCCAGTGTAAACCTTTCACAGATTCTAAAAGAGGTGTTTTTTGTGTTTTTTTTCTTGCAATTTCAGAAATGTAAATTGGCTATTATAGTTTACAAGGTAGGTACATGTTTTGTTATATAAATAACTCAGAAATATCTCTCTGGCTCTTCATACAATACAATCTTTGCAAAGTAGAAATATATCATGAAGACTAAGTGAAATAAATATAATCATAGCCAAGTTTTGATTTTTTAAAAAAAGAATATTCAATGTTTTTATTAGACTCAAAGGTCTTTACACCCCCTCCAGGCCCCAGGCTTTATTAAGGTATAATTGATAAATTAAAATTGTGTATTTTTACAGTGTACAATGTGGTTTTGATACATGTATATTTTGTGGAATTATTAAATCAAGCTAATTAACATAACTATCACCTCAAATATTTATCTTTTTTTGTGATGAGAACATTTATGATCTATTCACTTAGCAATTTTTAAAATTTACAATATATTATTATTGACTGTAGTCAACATAACTCTCCAGAAATTATTTATCCTTTCTAACAGAAATATTGTATCTTCAACCAACATCTCATTTCTCCCTTACCTCCCTTCCCAGGCCCTGGAAACCACCATTCTGCTCTCTGCTTATACAAATTCAAATTTTTTAATTCCACATATAAGTAAGATAATACAGTATTTCTGAACCTGACGTTCACTTAGTATAATGTCCCCCAAGTTCATCCGTGTTGCTGCTCATGACGGGATTTTCTTCTTTTAAAAGACTGAATAGTATTCTGTTGTGGGTGTCTTTTTTCTTTATTCATTTCTTTATGCATTCATCTGTCAATGGGCACTTACATTGAACATGGGAGTACAGTAATCTCTTCAACATACTGATTTAATTGTCCTTGAATATATACCCTGAAGTGTGAATAATGGATCATAAATAAATTCCTTTTTTAAAAATAAATCACTCAGTTTCAGGTACTCTGTTATAAGCAAGGAAAATGAACTAAGACAGATATTAACCTTTTATCATAAGTATAATTTGCAAATATTTTCTCTCATTCCATAAGTTGTCTTTTCGTTCTGTTCATTGGTGTTTTTTTTGTTTTGTTTTGTTTTGTTGTTGTTGTTGTTGTTGTGTTGTTGTTTCTGTGCAGGAGGTTTTTAGTTTGACTCAGTCCTGTTTGTGTATTTTTGCTTTTTTGGCCGGTGCTTTTGAGGACGTATTCAAAAAATAATTGTTCAGACCAATGTCAAGAAGCTTTTCCTCTATGTTTATTTGAATAGTTTTACAGTTCAGGTCGTATACTTAAACCTTTAATTCATTCTGGTTTGATTTTGTATATGGGGTAAGATAAGGGTTCAATTTCATTCGTACACATGTGGATAGTTATTGAAGATACTGTCTATTCTCTATTAGGTGTTCTTGACATTTTTGTCAAGGATCAATTAACCATAAATTTGTGGATTAGTTTATTGGTTTTCTTTCTGTCCCATTGGTCTATTTGTGTATTTTATGCCAGTACCATGTTGTTTTGATTAGTGTAGATTTGTAGTATTTTTGAAATCAATTAGTGTGATATATCCAGCTTTATTCCTTTTGATCAAAATTGCTTTGGCTATTGAAGGTCTTCTGTGGTTCTCTATGAATCTTAGGATTTCTTTCTATGTCCATGGTATGTATACATTTACCTATGTAACGAACCTGCACTTCCTACACATGTGTCCTTGAGCTTAAAATAAAAGTTGGAAATAAAAAAATTAAAAATGTGGGAAATATTTTAAAATGCAATGAGAATTTTGATAGGAACCACATTGAATCTGTAGATTTCTTTGGGTAGTAGGGGCATTTCAGTAGTATTAATTCTTTTAATCCATGAACACCGGATATCTTTCTATTTGTTTGTGTTGTCTTCAGTTTCTTTCATCAATGTTCTATAGTTTTCAGTGGACAGACCTTTCACCTCCTTGGTTACATTTCTTGCCAAGTATTTCATTTTTATTGATGCTATTATATGTGGAATTGCTAGATTGATTTATTTTTTGAATAATTTGCTGTTGGAGTATAAAAATGCAACTGATGTTTTGTGCTGATTTTGCATCCTGCAATTTTATTTAATTTGTTTTTTAGTTCTAGCAGTTTCTGGTAGAGTCTGCAGGATTTCCTATATATAAGAACTTGTCATCTGCAAATAGAGACAATTTTATTTCTTCCTTTATATTTTGGATATCTTTTCTTTCTTTCTTTTTTTTTTTTTTTTTGCCTAATTTATCTGTCTAGGAATTCCAGCACTATATTGAATAGATGTGGTGAAAGTGAACATCTTTATCATGTTTTTGATCTTAGAGGAAAAGCCTTTAGCTTTTCATTGGTTAGTTTGATGTTAGCTGTGGGCTGGTTGTATATAGCCTGTACTTAGTCAAGATACATTTCTTCTACACATAATTTGTTGGAAGTTTTTTCATGAAAGGATATTGAATTTTTTCAGATGTTTTTACTTCATCCAATGAGGTGACCATATGGGTTTTATCCTTCACTGTGTTAATGTGGTATATCTCATTTGTTAATTTGTATATATTAAACAATTATTGCATTCCAAGGATAAATCCTACTTGACCATGGTGTATGATCCTTTTTTTTTTTTTTTTTTTTTGCTATTCCTATTTTTTTTTATTATACTTTAAGTTCTAGGGTACATGTGCACAACATGCAGGTTTGTTACATATGTATACATGTTCCATGTTGGTGTGCTGCACCCATTAACTGGTCATTTACATTAGGTATATCTCCTAATGGTATCCCTCCCCATCCCCCCACCCCCCAATGGGCTCCAGTGTGTGATGTTTCCCTTCCTGTGTCCATGTGTTCTCATTGTTCAATTCCCACCTATGAGTGAGAATATGCTGTGTTTGGCTTTTTGTCCTTGCGATACTTTGCTGAGAGTTATGGTTTCCAGCTTCATCCATGTCCCTACAAAGGACACGAACTCATCCTTTTTTACGGCTGCATAGTATTCCGTGGTGTGTATGTGCCACATTTTCTTAATCTAGTCTATCATTGATGGACATTTGGGTTGGTTCCAAGTCTTTGCTATTGTGAATAGTGCCACAATAAACATACGTGTGCATGTGTCTTTATAGCAGCTATGATTTATAATCCTGTGGGTATATACCTAGTAATGGAATGGCTAGGTCAAATGGTACTTCCAGTTCTAGATCCTTGAGGAATGGCCACACTGTTTCCACAATGGTTGAACTAGTTTACAGTCCCACCAACAGTGTAAAAGTGTTCCTATTTCTCCACATCTTCTCCAGCACCTCTTGTTTCCTGATTTTTTAATGATCACCATTCTAACTGGTGTGAGATGGTATCTCATTGTGGTTTTGATTTGCGTTTCTCTGATGGCCAGTGATGATGAGCATTTTTTCATGTGTCTTTTGGCTGCATAAATGTCTTCTTTTGAGAAGTGTCTGTTACGAAATGAAGGCGGAAATAAAGATGTTCTTTGAAACCAATGAGAACAAAGACACAACATACTAGAATCTCTGGGACACATTTAAAGCGGTGTATAGAGGGAAATTTATAGCACTAAATGCCCACAAGAGAAAGCAGGACAGATCTAAAATTGACACCCTAACATCACAATTAAAAGAACTAGAGAAGGAAGAGCAAACACATTCAAAAGCTAGCAGAACGCAAGAAATAACTAAGATCAGAGCAGAACTGACGGAGATAGAGACACAAAAAACCCTTCAAAAAATCAGTGAATCAAGGAGCTGGTTTTTTGAAAAGATCAACAAAATTGATAGACTGCTAGCAAGACTAATAAAAAGAAAAAGAGAGAAGAATCAAATAGATGCAATAAAAAATGATAAAGGGGATATCACAACCGATCCCACAGAAATACAAACTACCATCAGAGAATAGTATAAACACCTCTACACAAATAAACTAGAAAATCTAGAAGAAACGGATAAATTCCTCGACACATAACACCCTCCCAAGACTAAACCAGGAAGAAGTTGAATCCCTGAATAGACCAATAACAAGATCTGAAACTGAGGCAATAATTAATATCCTACCAACCAACAAAAGTCCAGGACCAGATGGTTTCACAGCCAAATTCTCCCAGAGGTACAAGGAGGAACTGGTACCATTCCTTCTGAAACTATTACAATCAATAGAAAAAGAGGGAATCCTCCTTAACTCATTTTATGAGGCCAGCTTCATCCTGATACCAAAGCCTGGCACAGACACAACAAAAAAAGAGAATTTTAGACCAATATGCCTGATGAACATCGATGCAAAAATCCTCAATAAAATACTGGCAAACCAAATCCAGCAGCACATCAAAAAGCTTATCCACCATGATCAGGTGGGCTTCATCCCTGGGATACAAGGCTGGTTCAACATATGCAAATCAATAAATGTGATCCAGCATATAAACAGAACCAAAGACAAAAACCACATGATGATCTCAATAGATGCAGAAAAGGCATTTGACAAAATTCAACAGCCCTTCACGCTAAAAACTCTCAATAAATTAGGTATTGATGGGACATATCTCAAAATAATAGGAGCTATTTATGACAAACCCACAGCCAATATCATACTGAATGGGCAAAAACTGGAAGCATTCCCTTTGAAAACTGGCACAAGACAGGGATGCCCTCTCTCACCACTCCTATTCAACATAGTGTTGGAAGTTCTGGCCAGGGCAATCAGGAAGGAGAAAGAAATAAAGGGTATTCAATTAGGAAAAGAGGAAGTCAAATTGTCCCTGTTTGCAGGTGACATGATTGTATATCTAGAAAACCCCATCGTCTCAGCCCAAAATCTCCTTAAGCTGATAAGCAACTTCAGCAAAGTCTCAGGATACAAAATCAGTGTGCAAAAATCACAAGCATTCTTATACACCAATAACAGACAAATGGAGAGCCAAATCATGAGTGAACTCCCATTTACAATTGCTTCAAAGAGAATAAAATACCTAGGAATCCAACTTACAAGGGACATGAAGGACCTCTTCAAGGAGAACTACAAACCACTGCTCAAGGAAATAAAAGAGGATACAAACAAATGGAAGAACATTCCATGCTCATGGGTAGGAAGAATCAATATCGTGAAAATGGCCCTACTGCCCAAGGTAATTTATAGATTCAATGCCATCCCCATCAAGCTACCAATGACTTTCTTTACAGAATTGGCATATGATCCTTTTAATTTGCTATTACGTTTTGTTTGCTAGTGTTATGTTGAGGAATTTGCATCTATGTTCATCAAGAATATTAGCCTGTAATTTTTGTTTGTTTGTTTGTTTTGTTTGTTTGTTTGGTGACACAAAGTCTCTCTGTCTCCCAGACTGGAGTGCAGTGCCGTGATCTCAGCTCACTGCAATCTCTGCCTCCCAGGTTCAAGTGATTCTCCTGCCTCAGCCTCCCCAGTAGCTGGGATTACAGGTGTGAGCCCTTATGCCCTGTAATTTTCTTTCTTGAAGTGTCCTTGTCTGACTTTTCTATCAGGATGATGTTGGCTTTATAAAATGAGTTTGGAAGTGTTTCTTCCTCTTCACCTTTTTGGAAGCATTTGAGAGGAATAGGTGCCAGTTTTTAAAATATTTAATAAAATATACCAATGAAACCATCAAATATGGGACTTTTCTTTTTTGGAAAGTTTCTATTTACTGATTCAATCTCCTTCCCTGTATTGGTGTGTTCAGATCTTCTATTTCTGAGATGATCCAGTCTTGATAGATTTTGTGTTTCTAGGAATTTATCCATTTCTTCTAGGATGTTGCATTCATTGGAGTATAACTCTTCATAGTAGTGTCTCATGATCCTTTATGGTGCTGTTCTATAAATTGTAATGTCGTCTCTTTCATTTATAATTTTATGCACATATTCTTTTTTTAGTGTAGCTAAAGGTTCATCATCTTATCAAAACAGCAAATCTTAGTTTTATTAGCTTTTTCTATTGTTTTCCTAGTTTTAATTTTATTTATATCTACTCTGATCTTTCTCATTTTCCTCCTGCTGGTGAATTAGGGCTTACTTTGTTGTTCTTTTTCTAGTTCCTCGATGTATAAATTAGTTTTTTTTTTTTCTTGAGATCTTTTTTCTCTCTCAATGTACGTCTTTTTTGCTATAAACATATCTCTTAGCACTGCTTTTGCTGCATGCCATATGTTTTGGTAAGTTGTGTATCCATTTTCATTTATCTCAAGATATTTTTTGATTTCCCTTTTCATTTATTCTTGACCCATTGATTGTTGAGATAGGTGTTGTTTAATTTCCACATTTTGGTGAATTTTCTAATTTTCTTCCTGTTAGTGTTTTCAAGTTTTAAAACATTATAGTCAGGAAAGATACTGGATATGATTTCAGTCTTCTTAAATTTCTTAATACTTGTTTTATGACCTAATATGATCTACTTGGACAATGTTCCATATGCACCTGAAAAGAATGTGTGTTTTGCTGCTGTTGGATAAAGTGTTCTGTATATGTCTAATAGGTCTATTTGCTCTACAGTATTGTTCAAGCCCACTGTTTTCTTATTGACTTTCTATCTAGATGATCTATCCATTGTTGAAAGTTGGCTATTGAAGTCTTCCATTATTGTATTACTGTCTACTTCTCCCAGCAGTCATGTTAGTATTTGCCCTATACATTTACATGGTGCCTTTTTGGGTGCATATACACTTATAATCATTCTGTAATCTTAGTGAGTTGACTCTCGTGACCTCCTTTGTATTTCATAATAGTTTTTGTCTTAACATCTATTTTCTCTGATATAAATAGCCACCTTTCCTCTCTTTTGTTTACATAGAATGTCTTTTTCCATTCCTTCACTTTCAGTACATGTGGGTTTTAAAACTCAAGTTAATCTCTTGTAGGCAGCACATAATTTAATCTTATCTTTTTATTTATGTAGACACTTTGTGTCTTTTGATTGGAGAATTTAATCAATTTACATCTAAAGTAATTATTGATAGGTAAAGACTTACTACTGCCATTTTGTTAATATTGTCCTGACTACTTAGTTCCATTCTGCCTCTATTATTGTCTTTCTTTGTGATATGTGATTTTCTCTAGTGGTATTATTTGTTTCCTTTTTCTTAACTTTTTGTGAATTTTGTACAGTTTTTTTTCTTGTAGTTACCATGAGGCTTATGTAAAACATCTCATAGCTATATCAGACTATTTTAGGCTGATAACAATTTAATTTCATTGGCATTCAAAAACTACACTTTACCTTTTCCTCCTGCATGTTTTATGTTATTTATGTCTCAATTTACATTTTTTGTATTTATCCTGTCCATTAACAAATTATTGTAAATACAGTTATTTTAATACTTTTTTTGTATTTATAAACCACCAGGTTTATTTACATACCACCATTACAGTATCAGAGTAGTCTGAATTTGACCATATTCTTACCTTATAATGAGTTATACTTTCATATTTTTCATGTTGTTGGCTGACATCCTTTTGTTTTAACTTGGAAAATTCACTTTAGCATTTCTTGTAAGACAATTCCAGCGGTAATAATCTCCCATGGCTTTTCTTTGTCTTGGAAAGTCCTTACTTATCTCTCATTCATTTCTGAAAATTAGATTTGCTGGGTATAGTATTCTTTGTTGACAGGCCTTTTTGTCTTTCTTTCTTTCATTTTAACATATTGAATATATCAGCCCACTCTCTCCTCACCTGTAATGTTTTTGCTGAAAAAACTGCTAATAATCTTATGAACTTTCCCTTGTATGTAGCAAGTTGTCTTTCTCTTGTTTTCTAACTTCTGTCTTATGTTTGACTTTTGAAAATTTCATTATTATGTGTCTTGATGAAGATCTCTCCATATTTAATCTATTTGGGTTATTTGGGCTTCATGGATATGGAGATTCATTTTCATCTCCAGATATGGGGAGTTTTTTTAATCATTATTTCTTCTGGCCCCTTTATCTTTCTCTGCCCCTTCTTGAACTACCATGATGCATACATTGTTTCACTTGATCTTTTCTCAGAATTTCTGTAGGCTTTCTTTACACCTTTTTATTCTTTTTTTCTTTTCATTTCCCTGTCTGGGTAATTTGAAATATGCTTTCTTTGAGCTTGCTGATTCTTTCTTTGCTTGATTGAGTCCACTGTTGAAGCTTTGTATAAAATTTTCAGTTCAGTCATTGATTTGTAGTGCCACAACTTTTGTTTGGTTATTTTTTATAGCATATCTTTGTTCTACTTTTTATTCTGTACATGTATTGTTTTCCTAATTTTATTTTTTTTTTATTTATGTTCTTTTGTAGCTAAGTGGGCTTCTTTAAAATTATTTTGAATTCTTTGTCAGGAAGTTCACAGACCTCTATTTTTTAAGGAAGGGTCAGTTACTGGTGCTTTACTTTTTTTCCTTTGGTGGTATTATGTTTTCCTGATGTTTATGATTATGTGGACATAAATTAGTATGTGCACATATGAAAAAGTAAGCACCTATTTCAGTCTTTACAGACAGGCTTTGGAAAGAAAAGTTCCACTAGTCAGTTTATCCAAAGATTCTTGGAAGACCATCTTGCAGGGTTCATGGGTAGACTTGCTGCTAGAGTCTTGGGGCCTGGTGTAGGGTCAGAAGCTTGGCAGGCTTAGCACCTGGTTCCACAGGTGTAGGCTTAGTGCCTGGGTCCACAGGGTTGAGCCCAGAGCCTGAGTCCACTCTGGAGTCTGGAGCTTGAATCTGCTGCGGTGGGCTTGAATCCTGAGTCACTGGGGCTCAGCTTGTGGCTGAGATCCACTGCAGTGCGCTTGTTTACTGGGTCTGTGGGAGTGGTCATATTGGAGTTTGGATCCTCAGGGGCAGGCCTGGAAGCTATATTCACAAGTCCTGAATTTGTACGGACTATCCTGAAGCTAGAGTTACTGGGATTATAGCTTGGTACCTAGGCCCATAGGGGCAGGCCCAGGGCCTGCTTCCATGGGAACGGGCCTAGAGCCTAAGTCCATAGGGGCTGGCCTAGTTCTGGATCTAGCCTAGAGCCTGAGTTCACAGGGGTAGTTCTGGAGTCTGGGAATATAGGGGCCAGCCTGGTGCTAAGGTCTACTGGGGTGGACCTGAACCCTGATGTACTATAGCCAGAGGCCTGAAGCCTAGATTCATTAATGCTAGTCTGAGGCCTGAGACAACCACTGGAGCTAGCCTGGCTCTAGGGTAGGCCTGAAACCTTTGGCTGTGGGGTCCAGCCTGGAGCCTGGGGCTGTAGGGTCCTGCCTGGCATTGGAGTGGGCCTGAAGGCTTTACCTGTACGTGCTGGTCTGGAACTTGGGGCTATGGCCGCCAACCTGATGCCAGGGTTCACAATCTCACCAGCATCTGTTATTTTTTGACTTTTTAATAATAGCCATTCTGACTGATGTGAATGTTGCCTCACTGTGGTTTTGATTTGTATTTCTCTTATGATTAGTGATATTGAACTTTTTTTCATGTGCTTTTTGGCCACGTGTATATCTTTTCTCCCATTCCATAGGTTGTCTCTTTGTTCTATTCATAGTTTTCTTTTGCTGTGCAGAAGCTCTTTAGTTGAAATAGATCCCATTTGTCAATTTTGGCTTTTCTTGCAATTGCTTTTGGTGCCTTCATCATGAAAACCTGTTCCTATGTTCAGAATGGTATTGCCTTGGTTGTCTTCCAGGGTTCTTATAGTTTTGGGTTTTACATATAAGTCTTTAATCCATCTCGAGTTGATTTTTGTATATAGTGTAAAGACAGGATCCATTTTCAATCTTCTACATGTGGCTAGCCAGTTATCCCAGCACTATTTATTGAACAGAGGGTCCTTTCCCATGGCTTGTATTTGTCAGGTTGGTCGAAGATCAGATGGTTGTGGGTGTGTGGCCTAATGTGGTGCTTTTCTTCTCATGTTTATCCTCCTTGAGTTCATTGAAATTTTGGGATATGTGGTTTTAGTTATCAAATTTAGAAAATGTTTGATCATTTTTACAATTTATTTATTATTATTATACTTTAAGTTTTAGGGTACATGTGCACAATGTGCAAGTTAGTTACATATGTATACATGTGCCATGCTGGTGCGCTGCACCCACTAACTCGTCATCTAGCATTAGGTATATCTCCCAGTGCTATCCCTCCCCCCTCCCCCCACCCCACAACAGTCCCCAGAGTGTGATGTTCCCCTTCCTGTTTCCATGTGTTCTCATTGTTCAATTCCCACCTATGAGTGAGAATATGAGGTGTTTGGTTTTTTGTTCTTGTGATAGTTTACTGAGAATGATGATTTCCAGTTTCATCCATGTCCCTACAAAGGACATGAACTCATCATTTTTTATGGCTGCATAGTATTCCATGGTGTATATGTGCCACATTTTCTTAATCCAGTCTATCATTGTTGGACATTTGGGTTGGTTCCAAGTCTTTGCTATTGTGAATAGTGACGCAATAAACATACGTGTGCATGTGTCTTTATAGCAGCATGATTTATAGTCCTTTGAGTATATACTCAGTAATGGGTTGCCTGGGTCAAATGGTATTTCTAGTTCTAGATCCCTGAGGAATCGCCACACTGACTTCCACAAGGGTTGAACTAGTTTACAGTCCCACCAACAGTGTAAAAGTGTTCCTATTTCTCCACATCCTCTCCAGCACCTGTTGTTTCCCGACTTTTTAATGATTGCCATTCTAAGTGGTGTGAGATGGTATCTCATTGTGGTTTTGATTTGCATTTCTCTGATGGCCAGTAATGGTGAGCATTTTTTCATGTGTTTTTTGGCTGCATAAATGTCTTCTTTTGAGAAGAGTCTGTTCCTGTCCTTCACCCACTTTTTGATGGGGTTGTTTGTTTTTTTCTTGTAAATTTGTTTGAGTTCATTGTAGATTCTGGATATTAGCCCTTTGTCAGATGAGTAGGTTGCGAAAATTTTCTCCCATTTTGTAGGTTGCCTGTTCACTCTGATGGTAGTTTCTCTTGCTGTGCAGAAGCTCTTTAGTTTAATTAGATCCCATTTGTCAATTTTGGATTTATTGCCATTGCTTTTGGTGTTTTAGACATGGAGTCCTTGCCCATGCCTACGTCCTGAATGGTAATGCCTAGGTTTTCTTCTAGGGTTTTTATGGTTTTAGGTCTAACATTTAAATCTTTAATCCATCTTGAATTGATTTTTGTATAAGGTGTAAGGAAGGGATCCAGTTTCAGCTTTCTACATATGGCTAGCCAGTTTTCCCAGAACCATTTATTAAATAGGGAATCCTTTCCCCATTGCTCATTTTTCTCAGGTTTTTCAAAGATCAGATAGTTGTAGATATGCGGCGTTATTTCTGAGGGCTCTGTTCTGTTCCATTGATCTATATCTCTGTTTTGGTACCAGTACCATGCTGTTTTGGTTACTGTAGGCTTGTAGTATAGTTTAAAGTCAGGTAGTGTGATTCCTCCAGCTTTGTTCTTTTGGCTTAGGATTGACTTGGCAATGCGGGCTCTTTTTTGGTTCCATATGAACTTTAAAGTAGTTTTTTCCAATTCTGTGAAGACAGTCATTGGTAGCTTGATGGGGATGGCATTGAATCTGTAAATTACCTTGGGCAGTATGGCCATTTTCACGATATTGATTCTTCCTACCCATGAGCATGGAATATTCTTCCATTTGTTTGTATCCTCTTTTATTTCCTTGAGCAGTTGTTTGTAGTTCTCCTTGAAGAGTTCCTTCACATCCCTTGTAAGTTGGATTCCTAGGTATTTTATTCTCTTTGAAGCAATTGTGAATGGGAATTCACTCATGATTTGGCTCTCTGTTTGTCTGTTGTTGGTGTATAAGAATGCTTGTGATTTTTGTACATTGATTTTGTATCCTGAGACTTTGCTGAAGTTGCTTATCAGCTTAAGGAGATTTTGGGCTGAGACGATGGGGTTTTCTAGATATACAATCATGTCATCTGCAAACAGGGACAATTTGACTTCCTCTTTTCCTAATTGAATACCCTTTATTTCCTTCTCCTGCCTAATTGCCCTGGCCAGAACTTCCAACACTATGTTGAATAGGAGTGGTGAGAGAGGGCATCCCTGTCTTATGCCAGTTTTCAAAGGGAATGTTTCCAGTTTTTGCCCATTCAGTATGATATTGGCTGTGGGTTTGTCATAGATAGCTCTTATTATTTTGAAATACATCCCATCAATACCTAATTTATTGAGTGTTTTTAGCATGAAGCATTGTTGAATTTTGTCACATGCCTTTTCTGCATCTATTGAGATCATCATGTGGTTTTTGTCTTTGGTTCTGTTTATATGCTGGATTACATGTATTGATTTGCATATATTGAACCAGCCTTGTATCCCAGGGATGAAGCCCACTTGATCATGGTAGATAAGCTTTTTGATGTGCTGCTGGATTTGGTTTGCCAGTATTTTATTGAGGATTTTTGCATTGATGTTCATCAGGGATATTGGTCTAAAATTCTCTTTTTTTGTTTTGTCTGTGCCAGGCTTTGGTATCAGAATGATGCTGGCCTCATAAAATGAGTTGGGGAGGATTCCCTCTTTTTCTATTGATTGGAATAGTTTCAGAAGGAATGGTACCAGTTCCTCCTTGTACCTCTGGTAGAATTTGGCTGTGAATCCATCTGGTCCTGGACTCTTTTTGGTTGGTAAGCTATTGATTATTGCCACAATTTCAGATGCTGTTATTGGTCTATTCAGAGATTCAACTTCTTCCTGGTTTAGTCTTGGGAGAGTGTATGTGTCGAGGAATTTATCCATTTCTTCTAGATTTTCTAGTATATTTGTGTAGAGGTGTTTGTAATATTCTCTGATGGTAGTTTGTATTTCTGTGGGATCGGTGGTGATATCCCCTTTATCATTTTTTATTGTGTCTATTTGATTCTTCCCTCCTTTTTTCTTAGTCTTGCTAGCGGTTTATCCATTTTGTTGATCCTTTCAAAAAACCAGCTCCTGGATTCATTAATTTTTGAAGGGTTTTTATGTCTCTGTTTCCTTCATTTCTGCTCTGATTTTAGTTGTTTCTTGCATTCTGCTAGCTTTTGAATGTGTTTGCTCTTGCTTTTCTAGTTCTTTTAATTGTGATGTTAGGGTGTCAATTTTGGATCTTTCCTGCTTTCTCTTGTGGGCATTCAGTGCTATAAATTGCCCTCTACACACTGCTTTGAACACGTCCCAGAGATTCTGGCATGTAGTGTCTTTGTTCTCGTTGGTTTCAAAGAACATCTTTATTTCTGCCTTCATTTCGTTATGTACCCAGTAGTCATTCAGGAGCAGGTTGTTCAGTTTCCATGTAGTTGAGCGGTTTTTAGTGAGTTTCTTACCCCTGAGTTCTAGTTTGATTGCACTGTGGTCTGAGAGATAGTTTGTTATAATTTCTATTCTTTTACATTTGCTGAGGAGAGCTTTACTTCCAAGTATGTGGTCAATTTTGGAATAGGTGTGGTGTGGTGCTGAAAAAAATGTATATTCTGTTGATTTGGGGTGGAGATTTCTGTAGATGTCTATTAGGTCCACTTGGTGCAGAGCTGAGTTCAATTCCTGGGTATCCTTGTTGACTTTCTGTCTCGTTGATCTGTCTAATATTGACAGTGGGGTGTTAAAGTCTCCCATTATTAATGTGTGGGAGTCTAAGTCTCATTGTAGGTCACTCAGGACTTGCTTTATGAATCTTGGTGCTCCTGTATTGGGTGCATATATATTTAGGATAGTTAGCTCTTCTTGTTGAATTGATCCCTTGACCATTATGTAATGGCCTTCTTTGTCTCTTTTGATCTTTGTTGGTTTAAAGTCTGTTTTATCAGAGACTAGGATTGCAACCCCTGCCTTTTTTTGTTTTCCATTTGCTTGGTAGATCTTCCTCCATCCTTTTATTTTGAGCCTATGTGTGTCTCTGCAGGTGAGATGGGTTTCCTGAATACAGCACACTGATGGGTCTTGACTCTTTATCCAATTTGCCAGTCTGTGTCTTTTAATTGGAGCATTTAGTCCATTTACATTGAAAGTTAATATTGTTATGTGTGAATTTGATCCTGTCATTATGATGTTAGCTGGTTATTTTGCTCGTTAGTTGATGCAGTTTCTTCCTAGTCTCGATGGTCTTTACATTTTGGCATGATTTTGCAGCGGCTGGTACCGGTTGTTCCTTTCCATGTTTAGCGCTTCCTTCAGGAGCTCTTTTAGGGCAGGCCTGGTGGTGACAAAATCTCTCAGCATTTGCTTGTCTGTAAAGTATTTTATTTCTCCTTCACTTATGAAGCTTAGTTTGGCTGGATACGAAATTCTGGGTTGAAAATTCTTTTCTTTAAGAATGTTGAATATTGGCCCCCACTCTCTTCTGGCTTGTAGAGTTTCTGCCGAGAGATCCACTGTTAGTCTGATGGGCTTCCCTTTGAGGGTAACCCGGCCTTTCTCTCTGGCTGCCCTTAACATTTTTTCCTTCATTTCAACTTTGGTGAATCTGACAATTATGTGTCTTGGAGTTGCTCTTCTCGAGGAGTATCTTTGTGGCATTCTCTGTATTTCCTGAATCTGAACGTTGGCCTGCCTTGCTAGATTGGGGAAGTTCTCCTGGATAATATCCTGCAGAGTGTTTTCCAACTTGGTTCCATTCTCCCCGTCACTTTCAGGTATACCAATCAGACGTAGATTTGGTCTTTTCACATAGTCCCACATTTCTTGGAGGCTTTGTTCATTTCTTTTTATTCTTTTTTCTCTAAACTTCCCTTCTCGCTTCATTTCATTCATTTCATCTTCCATTGCTGATACCCTTTCTTCCAGTTTATTGCATCGGCTCCTGAGTCTTCTGCATTCTTCACATAGTTCTTGAGCCTTGGTTTTCAGCTCCATCAGCTCCTTTAAGCACTTCTCTGTATTGGTTATTCTAGTTATACATTCTTCTAAATTTTTTTCACAGTTTTCAACTTCTTTGCCTTTGGTTTGAATGTCCTCCCGTAGCTCGGAGTAATTTGATCGTCTGAAGCCTTCTTCTCTCAGCTCGTCAAAGTCATTCTCCGTCCAGCTTTGTTCCGTTGCTGGTGAGGAACTGTGTTCCTTTGGAGGAGGAGAGGCGCTCTGCTTTTTAGAGTTTCCAGTTTTTCTGCTCTGTTTTTTCCCCATCTTTGTGGTTTTATCTACTTTTGGTCTTTGATGATGGTGATGTACAGATGGGTTTTTGGTGTGGATGTCCTTTCTGTTTGTTAGTTTTCCTTCTAAGAGAGAGGACCCTCAGCTGCAGGTCTGTTGGAGTACCCAGCCGTGTGAGGTGTCAGTCTGCCCCTTCTGGGGGGTGCCTCCCAGTTAGGCTGCTCGGGGGTCAGGGGTCAGGGACCCACATAAGGAGGCAGTCTGCCCGTTCTCAGATCTCCAGCTGCTTGCTGGGAGAACCACTGCTCTCTTCAAAGCTGTCAGACAGGGACATTTAAGTCTGCAGAGGTTACTGCTGTCTTTTTGTTTGTCTGTGCCCTGCCCCCAGAGGTGGAGCCTACAGAGTCAGGCAGGCCTCCTTGAGCTGTGGTGGGCTCCACCCAGTTCAAGCTTCCCGGCTGCTTTGTTTACCTAAGCAAACCTGGGCAATGGTGGGCGCCCCTCCCCCAGCCTCCCTGCTGCCTTGCAGTTTGATCTCAGCCTGCTATGCTAGCAATCAGCGAGACTCCGTGGGTGTAGGACCCTCTGAGCCATGTGCGGGATATAATCTCCTGGTGCACTGTTTTTTTGTGTGTTTTTTTTTTGTATTTATTTTATTTTATTTTTATTTTTATTTTTTTATTTTATTTTTTTTATTATACTTTAAGTTTTAGGGTACATGTGCACATTGTGCAGGTTAGTTACATATGTATACATGTGCCATGCTGGTGCGCTGCACCCACTAACTCGTCATCTAGCATTAGGTATATCTCCCACTGCTATACCTCCCCCCTCCCCCCACCCCACCACAGTCCCCAGAGTGTGATATTCCCCTTCCTGTGTCCATGTGATCTCATTGTTCAATTCCCACCTGTGAGTGAGAATATGCGGTGTTTGGTTTTTTGTTCTTGCGATAGTTTACTGAGAATGATGGTTTCCAATTTCATCCATGTCCCTACAAAGGACATGAACTCATCATTTTTTATGGCTGCATAGTATTCCATGGTGTATATGTGCCACATTTTCTTAATCCAGTCTATCATTGTTGGACATTTGGGTTGGTTCCAAGTCTTTGCTATTGTGAATAATGCCGCAATAAACATACGTGTGCATGTGTCTTTATAGCAGCATGATTTATAGTCCTTTGGGTATATACCCAGTAATGGGATGGCTGGGTCAAATGGTATTTCTAGTTCTAGATCCCTGAGGAATCGCCACACTGACTTCCACAATGGTTGAACTAGTTTACAGTCCCAACAACAGTGTAAGAGTGTTCCTATTTCTCCACATCCTCTCCAGCACCTGTTGTTTCCTGACTTTTTAATGATTGCCATTCTAACTGGTGTGAGATGATATCTCATAGTGGTTTTGATTTGCATTTCTCTGATGGCCAGTGATGATGTGCATTTTTTCATGTATTTTTTGGCTGCATAAATGTCTTCTTTTGAGAAGTGTCTGTTAATGTCCTTCGCCCACTTTTTGATGGGGTTGTTTGTTTTTTTCTTGTAAATTTGTTTGAGTTCATTGTAGATTCTGGATATTAGCCCTTTGTCAGATGAGTAGGTTGCGAAAATTTTCTCCCATGTTGTAGGTTGCCTGTTCACTCTGATGGTAGTTTCTTTTGCTTTGCAGAAGCTCTTTAGTTTAATTAGATCCCATTTGTCAATTTTGGCTTTTGTTGCCATTGCTTTTGGTGTTTTGGACATGAAGTCCTTGCCCACGCCTATGTCCTGAATGGTAATGCCTAGGTTTTCTTGTAGGGTTTTTATGGTTTTAGGTCTAACGTTTAAATCTTTAATCCATCTTGAATTGATTTTTGTATAAGGTGTAAGGAAGGGATCCAGTTTCAGCTTTCTACATATGGCTAGCCAGTTTTCCCAGCACCATTTATTAAATAGGGAATCCTTTCCCCATTGCTTGTTTTTCTCAGGTTTGTCAAAGATCAGATAGTTGTAGGTATGCGGCGTTATTTCTGAGGGCTCTGTTCTGTTCCATTGATCTATATCTCTGTTTTGGTTACTGTAGCCTTGTAGTATAGTTTGAAGTCAGGTAGTGTGATGCCTCTGGCTTTGTTCTTTTGGCTTAAGATTGACTTGGCGATGCGGGCTCTTTTTTGGTTCCATATGAACTTTAAAGTAGTTTTTTCCAATTCTGTGAAGAAAGTCATTGGTAGCTTGATGGGGATGGCATTGAATCTGTAAATTACCTTGGGCAGTATGGCCATTTTCACGATATTGATTCTTCCTACCCATGAGCATGGAATGTTCTTCCATTTGTTTGTATCCTCTTTTATTTCCTTAAGCAGTGGTTTGTAGTTCTCCTTGAAGAGGTCCTTCACATCCCTTGTAAGTTGGATTCCTAGGTATTTTATTCTCTTTGAAGCAATTGTGAATGGGAGTTCACTCATGATTTGGCTCTCTGTTTGTCTGTTGTTGGTGTATAAGAATGCTTGTGATTTTTGTACATTGATTTTGTATCCTGAGACTTTGCTGAAGTTGCTTATCAGCTTAAGGAGATTTTGGGCTGAGACGATGGGGTTTTCTAGATAAACAATCATGTCGTCTGCAAACAGGGACAATTTGACTTCCTCTTTTCCTAATTGAATACCCTTTATTTCCTTCTCCTGCCTGATTGCCCCGGCCAGAACTTCCAACACTATGTTGAATAGGAGCAGTGAGAGAGGGCATCCCTGTCTTGTGCCAATTTTCAAAGGGAATGCTTCCAGTTTTTGCCCATTCAGTATGATATTGGCTGTGCGTTTGTCATAGATAGCGCTGTTTTTTAAGCCCGTCAGAAAAGCGCAGTATTCGGGTGGGAGTGACCCGATTTTCCAGGTGCTGTCTGTCACCCCTTTCTTTGACTAGGAAAGGGAACTCCCTGACCCCTTGCACTTCCTGAGTGAGGCAATGCCTCACCCTGCTTTGACTCGCACACGGTGAGAGCACCCACTGACCTTCACCCACTGTCTGGCACTCCCTAGTGAGATGAACCCGGTACCTCAGATGGAAATGCAGAAATCACCTGTCTTCTGTGTCGCTCACGCTGGGAGCTGTAGACTGGAGCTGTTCCTATTCGGCCATCTTGGCTCCTCCCCTGAAAATGTTCGATCATTATTCACACTTTTTTCTTTCTCTTACTCTGTCTTCTCTCCTTTAGATTTTCTAGTTATGTGACATTTTCTTCTTGCTACTTTCCACTGGTCACTGAAGGCTCTGATTATTTTGTCTTCATTAAACTTTTGTGAGATAATTTTAGATTTGCATCCAGTTGTAAGAAATAATATAGAGAGAGCCTATGTATGATTTACCCAATCCCCTTTAATGCTAACATCCTGCAAAATTATAATACAATATAACAAACAGGATGTTGAAATTGGTGTAATCAAGATACAGAATATTTCATTCATTGCAATGGTCTCTCGTGTTGCCATTTAATAGCCACAGTCACTTTTCTCCATCCCTACTCCCTCCGTAACCCCGAAAGCTACTAATGTATTCCCCATTTATATAATTTTTGTCATTTCAAGAATCTTATATAAATAGAATCATGCAATATGTAACCTACATGGACTGGATTTTTTTCATCCAGCATAATTCCCTGCAGATTTATTAGGTTTTTACATGTAACAATAGTTCATTTTTATGGCTGAGTAGTATTCCATGATATAGATGTATCACAGTTTGTTTAAACGTTTTTCATTTGGACTGATATCAGTTGCAGCAGTTATGAATAAAGCTGCTTTTTTCTATGAAAAGTTTTTAATACTTTTACATTTAAGTTAGTGATCCATCTTTGGTTAATATTTTTGGTAAAGTATGAGATGTATTCTTGCTGATGCATTTGTTGAAAAGGTTATCCTTCTTTATTGAATTCCTTTTGCACCTTTCCCATTAATCAAGTGGGAATATTTCTGTGAATTCTCTTATGGGCTCTCCATTTTATTCCATTGATTGATGCATATATCTCTTCACCAATATGACATAGACTTGATTAGTCTTGAAATCAAGTAAATGATCTTACCTTACTCATATTTATTATAACTGTTTTAGCTACTGTACTTTTTGCCTTTTCATATATTTTTTGGAAAAACTTGGTTATATACAAATAATGTTGCTTGGATTTTGATAAGAATTGTATTAATCCTGTATATCAATTTCAGGAAAATACTCATATTTTTATTACACTGAGTCTTCCAAGCCACAAATACAATATATCTCTCAATTTATCTATCTTTAATTTTGTTTATCAGTATTTTATAGATTTTAGTATAGAAGATCTATAAATATCTTGTTAGATTTACATCTTTTCTCTTTTTGAGCTATGGTAAATATTATTGCCCTTTAATTTTACTGTCCATGTGTTTGTCACTAATATATAGAATATAACTGATTTTTTATGTTTATCTTTTATTCTGCTAACTTGTTGAACTCGTTTTTTAGTTTTGGAGTTTATAAATTCCTTAAGATTTCCTGACAATTATATGCAAATTGAAACCATTTCGTTGCTTTTCTGATCTGTTGTTATTTTATTTACTTTTCTTGCCTTTATACACTGGCTAGAACTTCCAACCCTACATTGAATAGAGTCATGAGAGTAAACATTCTTGCCTTGCTGTCAGTCATAGAGGGAAAGAATCTGGTCTTTTACCATTGAATATACAGATGGTCCTTCATATCTGTGGCATTTTATCTGTGGATTTAATCAACAATGGAACAAAAATTTTTAAAGAAACTTAATCGTTGTGTCTGTGCTGAACATGTATACAGAACTTTTTCTTGTCATTATTCCCTAAGAATACAGTATAACAATTATTTACATAGCATTTACACTGTACTAGGTATTATCAGTAATCCAGGGATGATTTAAAGTATATGAAAAAATGTGCAGAGGCTATATGCAAACACTACATCATTTTATATAAAGGACTTGGGCATCCATGGATTTTTGTATTCATGAGGGGTCCTGGGACCAATCTCCCATGGATGTTGAGGAACAACTGTAATGTTAGCTTTAGGTTTCTTGAATATACTGTTTGTCAAGTTGAAGAAGTTTTCAATACTCTCATTTTTTCTGAGATTTTAAAAAAAGTATGAATGGGTGTTGAATTATGCCAAATGGTTTTTTCTGCATTGATTGATTATCATACGAATTGTCTTCTTTATTCTATGATTATGGTGAATTAGATTGATTGATTTTTTAATATTGACCTGTTTTGCATGGTACAATAAATTCCATTTGATCATGTTGCATATTTTTTGTACAAATATATATATATAGTATATACATATATAGTACATATATAGTATATATATGTATAAAAGTTTCATTCGTATTTTGTTAAGGATTTTTGCATCTTTATTCATGAGTGACATTGGTGTATTTTGATGATACACAAATCATCATAAGAATTTCTTTCTTCTTTCTTTCTTCTCTCTCTGTCTGTCCATCTGTCTGTCTGTCTGTCTTTTTTCTTTTCTTTCTTTCTCTCTTAATATCTTTGCCTGATTTCGGTATCAGGAAAATACTAGCTACACTGTTTTCTGGAAGAAATTGTAGAATTATTGTTATTTGTTCTTTAAACATTTGGTAGAATTATTCGGTGAAACCATCTGGGTCTAGATATTTTTCTTTTGAGACTATTTAAATGATGAATTATTTGTTTCATAGTTACAGGGCTATACAAATTATCTATTTCTTATGAGTGAGTTGTGGTAGCTTGTGTTTTTTGAGGAATTAGCCCACTTTGTCTAAGTTGCCAAATTTATGTGTATAATTATTTGTAGTAGTTCCTTATTATAGTTTTATTATCATCGGTGTCCGTAGTAATATCCTTGTTTTATTCCTGATATGGGTAATTTGTGTCTTCTCTTTTTTTTTCATTGTTAATCTTTTGTTGTCAATTTTATTGACAACATTGCAATAATGTTCTGTATTGCTTTTCTGTTTTCAATTTTATTGATTTCTTGTATTATCTTTATTATTTTCTTTGTTTTGCTTTCTTTGGGTTGATTTTGCTCTTCTTATTTTAAATTCTTAAAGTAGAAGTTAAAATTATTGATTTAAGACTTTTCCTCTTTTTCAATGCAAACATTTAATGCTGTACATTTTCCTCTCATCACTGTTTTAGCTGTGAGTTCAAATTTTTGATATTGTATTTTTATTTTTATTCAGCTAAGTGTATTTATTTTCCCTTGACACTTCCTCTTTGACTTATGAATTACATAGAAGTCTCCTGCTTAGTTATCATGTGTTTGGAGCTTTTCCTATTATCTCTCTGTTATTGATTTGTCATTTGATTCCATTGTGGTTTGATTTTAATTCCATTACATTTTTTAGGTTTGTTTTATGGTTCAAGATGTAGTCTATCTTGGTATATATTCTGTGAGCATTTGACAAGAATGTGTATTCTGCTATCACTGGGTAGAGTAGTTAATGTCAAGTAGATCCTACGGTCTTACGGTATTGAGTTCTTTGTTGATGCTAGTTTTGTGTCTAGTTCTATTTTTAATTGGTACAAGAGTGCTGTTGAAGTCCCCAACTATAATTGTGCATTAGTCTATTTCTCCTCCATTTCTAACAGCTTTTGCCTCACATATTTCACTATTTTATTTTTTGGTGCACATACATTTAGGGTTGTTATCTCTCATTGGTTGATTGACTCCTTTATTATTATAAAATGTCCCTTCCTATTTCTGGTATCTTTTTTTTTTGCTCTAAGATCTAATTTATCTGATATAGCCACAGATATAGCTGTGTCCCCATCAAAATCTCTCATCTTGAATTCCCACATGTTGTAGGAGGGAGCTGGTGGGAGATAATTTAATCATGGGGGAAAGTCTTTCCCATGCTGTTCTCATAATAGTGAATAAGTCTCACAAGATCTGATAGTTTTATAAGGGGGAGTTTCCCTGCACAAGCTCTCTCTTTGCCTGCTGCCATACATGTAACACGTGACTTGCTCCTCCTTGCCTTCTGCCATGATTGTGAGGCTTCCCCAGCCACATGGAACTGTAAGTCCATTAAACTCTTTTTCCTGTATAAATTGTTCAGTTTCAGGTATGTCTTTATCAGCAGCCTGAAAATGGACTAATACAGTAAATTGGTATGAGTAGTGGGATGCTGCTAAAAAGATACCCAAAAATGTGGAAGCCACTTTAAAACTGGGTAACGGGCAGAGTTTGGAACAGTTTCGAGGGCTCAGAAGAAGACAGGAAAATGTGGGACAGTTTGGAACTTCCTAGAGACTTGTCGAATGGCTTTGACCAAAATGCTCATAACGATATGGACAATGAAATCCAGGCTGAAGTGGTCTCAGATGGAGATGAGGAACTTGTTGGGAACCAGAGCAAAGGTGACTCTTGTTACGTTTTATCAAAGAGACTGGTGGCATTTTGCCCCTGCCCTAGAGATTTATGGAACTTTGAACTTGAGAAAGATGATTTAGGGCATCTGGTGGAAGAAAATTCTAAGCAGCAAAGCATTCAAGAGGTGACTTGGGTGCAGTTAAAGGCATTCAGTTTTATAAGGGAAGCAGAGCATAAAAGTTTGAAAAATGTGCAGCCTGACAATGTGATAGAAAAGAAAATCCCATTTTCTGAAAAGAAATCCAAGCCGGCTGCAGAAATTTGCATAAGTAATGAGGAGCCAAATGTTAATCTCCAAGACAATGGGGAAAATGTCTTCAGGCCATGTCAGAGGTCTTCATGGCAGCCTCTCCTGTTACAGGCCTGGAAGCCTAGGAGGAAAAAGTGGTTTCATGGGGTGGGCCCAGGGTCCTCATGCTGTGTGCAGCCTAGGGACTTTGTGCCCTGCATCCCAGCTGCTCTAGTGATGGCTGAAAGGGGCCAAGGTAGAGCCTGTTTAACCTGTTTTGATTTGGAGAAGCACAGAAAATGAGGCACACAGAGATTCACATAAAGATGCCATGTATTTGAGGAGCAATCTGCCTGTGTGGCAATAGAGAAGGAGAGAGCTTTTAGACTATGAAGCCTGGAAGTTTACAATGGCCCCTTACCCTGACCAGAACTTCCTGAAAAAAAGTTAACAAAGGAAATAGTAAATAAAGTAAATATATACTAGCAAATAAAGGCTGCTATTAAGTAAAGGCTAATATTGAAGAATCTGAAAAGCATCAGCAGAAATTTATTGTAAGAGAAGAGTATAGAAGTGGGAAACAATATTTACCATCAAATAAAAAGTAATTGCCAATAGGAAAATGTTGCACAGAACACATTAAAGAAAACCCTTTGAAAAATTCAAACTAAAGAGACTTTTTATAAAGATCATATATAAAAATAAACAACAAAAAGTGATAATTTTGAAAAAGAGCAATTAAGGGAAATTAGCTCTTTCAGATATTAAAATATTTTATAAAGCCTAATATTTAAATTTATGTGATATTAGGATATAAATAGTGAGAAAGAATAAAGGAATAAAATAGAAAGTATAAAAATTAATATGAATATATATATATACTTTAACATATGATAAAGATGACATCTCAGTTTTCTTGGGAACTTGGATAGCCACTTGGAAAAACTTAAGTTGAATCTCTACTTTATATCCTAACAAGATACATCTAAAATGGATTATATTTTAATGTTAAAAAATAAATAAATCTTAAATGTACTAGAAGAAAAATTGAATACCTCCTATAAAAGCTAAAAGAAAAGACAGAGCATTTCTCAACAGCAAAATGTACCATAAGATAATGTCAACAGAACAAGTTAGGAATACATTTGCAATACAATTCATATCAAAAAGGGCTAATCCCTTTAATACAAAAAATCAGAGAAAAAGATAATGTAATCAATCAAACAAGATGCAAAAGACACCAAGAGGCATACAGTGGAAATAAAAATAACTATTAGATGTATAAGTTCTATGTCACTCTAAATATATGACTTATAAGTTGGAGCTACCATGAAATATCTTTTTATTTATTAGATGTTTAAAACCATAAAATTTTAATAACAGAATCTGTCAAAATGTGGGAACACACTCTTACTTTGCTAATGGAAAGGTCAATATGTACAATTACAAGCAAGAGAAATTCAAACTTTCAAACATCTAATTACAAACATGTATTTCCTCTGATGTTTGACCTAGCAATTTAATTTATATATATTTCCATGTATGTAAAATTACATCTAGACATATTTATTCTTTCAACCACTGTTTGTAATAGCAAAAGACTGGGAACAACCCAAATATCCATTAAAAGGTGAAGGTTTAAATAAATGATGATATATTCATACAACAGAAGGTAATACAAATCTAAAAACAGACTAAAATAAAGTCTTCTTTATGCTCTAAAGTGAAAGGATCTCCATGATATATTATGTAAGGAAGCAAGGAGAAGGATTTAACAGTTTTTAAATCTCTGCTCTTAATGCTGCATATAAGGAGCTTGGAAGTCACCACTCCATCCAGTTTTCTAACAAGTAAAAAAACAGAACAGACTGAAAAATAACAAATTTTCTAGGATTCATCAGAGAGGTGAGGATATAGAACAAACTGCTTCCCACAATATTGGAGAGATAATAAGATTAATACAGGGAGTCATGGGTTTACCACAGCAGAGACTTACAAGCAAAACTGCTGCAGGAACCAGTGCCAGGTATAAAAACCTGAACTATAATTGATAAATTGCTAGAGACTCAGAGAGGACAAATCTGAGACTTGTATATCCCAATGGAATCCTGCCAAGAAGAGGTGGGGTATGTGAGTTTAACCTGCAAGAGTATGACCAGGTTCTCATAGTAAATACTGGAGGAAGACTTCCCTTGTGTTTCAAGTACAGGGAGAGGAAATACACCAGAGTACACTGCTCTTTGACAAGGCCTGCCCTCAGGAGAAGCTATTCAAACAGAGCCTTGTCTGCTGAGGTTTTGTAGCCTAACTGACATGTGGGAAGGGAAATACCCAAATCTAGCCATCCTATCTCATGGAAAAGGAAGGGGGGCTGAGAAATTGAGACTATTGGGAGGTTCATAGTCCAGAGACACAGTCCAGAGGCTCACTGAAACACTGAGATCTAATCATAAGACTACAGAATGGTTTCCTTCCCCCCATCCCTTAACAAGATATTACTAAAGGCCTATTTTCAGCAGTTCCATTTACATGGTAAATCATTTCTGACTATGAAGAAAAAATTACTAGGAAAAAAAAAAAAGAATTAGAAGAAATAGAGTAAGCATCAGGACCAGGTAAGGCAGGGATATTGAAATGATCAAACCTGAAATTTTAAACAACAATGAAAAATACGCTAAGGGCTCTAACAGATAAAGTAGACAGCATGCAAGAACAGATGGGCAAATGTAAGCATAGAGATGGAAATCCTAGGAAAGAAACAAAAAGAAATGCTACAGATCAAAAATACTGTTGAGAGGTGACAGTGTGCTGGCAGTCTTCACAGCCCTCGCTCGCTCTCGGGGCCTCCTCTGCCTGGGCTCCCACTTTGGCGGCACTTGAGGAGCCCTTCAGCCCACCACTGCACCATGGGAGCCCCTTTCTGGGCTGGCCAAGGCCAGAGCTGGCTCCCTCAGCTTGTGGGCAGGTGTGGAGGGAGAGGCGCGAGCGGGAACCGGGGCTGCGTGGGTGCTTAAGGGCCAGCGTGAGTTCCGGGTGGGTGTGGGCTCGGCGGACACCGTGCTCGGAGTGGCGGCCAGCCCCACCAGCCCCGGGCAGTGAGGGATTTAGCACCTGGGCCAGCAGCTGCTGTGCTCAATTTCTCGCTGGGCCTTAGCTGCCTTCCCGTGGGGCAGGGCTCTGGACCTGCAGCCACCATGCCTGAGCCTCCCCCCGCACCCCACCCCCCACCCTCCCTGGGCTCCTGTGCTGCCCGAGCCTCCCAAGGAGCGCAGCTGCCTGCTCCACAGTGCCCAGTCCTATCGACACCCAAGGGTTGAGGAGTGCGGGCGCACAGTGCGGGACTGGCAGGCAGCTCCACCTGCAGCCCTGGTGCTGGATCCACTGGGTGAAGCCAGCTGGGCTCCTGAGTCTGGTGGAGACGTGGAGAACCTTTATGTCTAGCTAAGGGATTGTAAATACACCAATCGGCACTCTGTATCTAGCTCAAGGTTTGTAAACACCAATCAGCACCCTGTGTCTAGCTCAGGGTTTGTGAATGCACCAATCGACACTCTGTATCTAGCTACTCTGTTGGGGCCTTGGAGAACCTTTATGTCTAGCTCAGGGATTGTAAATACACCAATTGGCACTCTGTATCTAGCTTAAGGTTAGTAAACACACCAATCACCACCCTGTGTCTAGCTCAGGGTTTGTGAATGCACCAATCGACACTGTATCTAGCTACTCTGGTGGGGACTTGGAGAACCTTTGTGTCCACACTCCGTATCTAGCTAATCTGGTGGGGACGTGGAGAACTTTTGTGTCTAGCTCAGGGATTGTAAACGCACCAATCAGTGCCCTGTCAAAACAGACCACTAGGCTCTACCAATCAGCAGGATGTGGGTGGGGCCAGATAAGAGAATAAAAGCAGGCTGCCCAAGCCAGCAGTGGCAACCCGCCCGGGTCCCCTTCCACAGTTTGGAAGCTTTGTTCTTTCGCTCTTTGCAGTAAATCTTGCTGCTGCTAACTCTTTGGGTCCACACTGCCTTTATGAGCCGTAACACCGCGAAGGTCTGCAGTTTCACTCCTGAGCCAGTGAGACCACAAACCGACCAGAAGGAAGAAACTCCGAACACATCCGAACGTCAGGAGGAACAAACTCCAGATGCACCACCTTAAGAGCTGTAACACTCACCCCGAGGGTCCGTGGCTTCATTCTTGAAGTCAGTGAGACCAAGAACCCACCAATTCCAGACACACTGTGACAGAAGTGAAGAATTCCTTTGATGAGCTTATTAGTAGACTGGACACAGCTGAGGAAAGAATCTCTGAGCCTGAGGCTATAACAATAAAAACCTTCAAAACAACAAGTAATGAAGATGATACAATAGCTAAAAAGAAATTATTTAGGCAGTGAGGGTAAGTGTATTAGTCAGAGTTCTCTAGAGGGACTGACTAATAGGAAATATATATATGTATATATATATATGTATATATATGTGTATATATATGTGTGTATATATATGTGTGTGTATATATATGTGTATATATATATGTGTGTGTATATATATATGGGAGTTTATTAAGTGATATTAACTCACACCATCACCAGGTACCACAATAGGCCATCTGCAAGTTGAGGAGCAAGGAAGCCAGTCTGAGTCCCAAAGCTGCAGAACTTGGAGTCCGATGTTTGAGGGCAGAAGCATGCAGCACAGGAGAAAGATGTAGGCTGGGAGGCTAAACCAGTCTAGGCTTTTCACATTTTTCTACCTGCTTTACATTCTGGCTGCGCTGGCAGCAGATTACATGGTGCCCACCCAGATTAAGGGTGGGTCTGCCTTTCCTAGCCCACTGACTCAAATGTTAATCTCTTTGGCAACACCAACACCCTCACAGACATACCCAGAATCAATACTTTGCATGCTTCAATCCAATCAAGTTGACACTCAGTATTAACCATCACAGTAAGAAAGTCCTCTGTAAGGCTTCCCTTTTAACAAAAAGCAGCCTCAAATCATTTTTGTTTCTAGCAAAATGCAGCCTGAAAAATCAAACTGCAGATGTAGAAAAGCAAGCTAGAAGCTTTCACGGGTAAATGCCAGCAGCTTTGACAATAGAAAAAGGCTACCTGGAGGCCAGGCATGTTCAACATGGGACTCCATCTTCCCTTTCCTTTGTCAACTGTGTGAACTGTAAGGAACAGATGTAATGGCACAGGCCAGGTAGAGAACTCATTTGCATGATAAAAAGATTAGGGTGGGGTAGCCAGCTTCTTCATGTGCTATGTAAATGACACACCTGGTCCAACCAACCAATCTTTTGGGCCCCATGTAAATCAGGCACCGCCTTCTCAAGCTTGTCTATTAAAACCTGTGCATTTCATCACAAAACTGGAGGACCCGCTTGGGAGCCCCTCTCTCTCTGCAGGAGAGAGAGCTATTCTCTTTCTTTTGCCTATTAAACTTCCACTGTTAAACTCACTTCTTGTCCTAGATTTCTCTGGCATGAGACAACGAACCTTAGGTATTTACCCCAGACAATGATGCTGCTTCAAGAACAACCAAAAAATAGAAAAAAAAAAAACAAAAAAAAACAGAACAGAATATTCAGGGAGTGTGTGACAACTATAAAAGGTGTAACATAAACAGAAACAGAACACTAGAAGGAGAAAAAAAGTGAAATAAACAGGAGAAATATTTAAAACAATAATGCTTTAGAATTTTTCCCAAATTAATGTCAGACACCAAATCACAGATCCAGAAGGCTAAGGGAAAATGAAGCAGGATAAGTGCTAAAATCAAATATTAAAAAAAATTCTGAAAGAAGTAAGAGGAAAAAAGCACCTTATTTTTAGAGGAACAAAGATAAGAATTATATCCAACTTCTCCTCTGAAACCAGGCAAGCAAGAGGAGAGTAGGGTAAAATTTTTAATGTCTTGAGTGGGAAAAAAAAATAATCTCGCCAACCTAGAATTCTGTACTCTGTGAAATTACACTACAAAAGTGAAGGAGAAATACAGATTTTCTCAGATAAACAAAAATTACAGTGGTTTATTGCTACTAGACCTGCTTTGCAAGAAAAGGATAGGGAAGGAAAATAATATAGCTCAAAAACTTGGATCATGATAAAGAAAGAAATAACACTGGAAAAAATAACTAACAGTAAAATAAAAACATTTTTCTTCTTCTTAATCTAAAAGATAATAGTTTGTTCGAAATAATAGCAATAGTGTATTTGCTTATGTATTCTAATATATATATAGATTTTTATATGCTTATGTGTAATTGGAATGAATAATAGCAATGATACAAAGAATGGAAAAGAAGTATCAAGATTATTTTGTTATTATAGGGTACTCATACTACCTGTGAAGCAGAATAGTGTTATTTGAAAGTGGACTTGGATTTGATGTATATTGCAAACTAGGGCAACCACTAAAAAGTGTAAAAAGAAAGAAGTATAACTGATGTGCTCAGAAAGAAGAGAAAATGGAATCGTAAAATGCTCAATGAAAACCACAAAAGGCAAAGAGCAGAAAACAAACATAGGAACAAAGAACAAACGCAGCAAAAGGAAACAGCAACAAATATGGCAAATATTAATTCAAGTATACAAATAATCACTTTGAATATCCATAGTCTAACACAACTTAATACATTTACACTGTTGGATAGTAAAATAACACATCTTATTAGAACATGTGGGATATAGCAAAAGCAGTGCTCAGGGAGATATTTACAGCATTGAATGCATATATTAGAAAAAAGGAAAGATCTAAACTCGAACATCTAAGTTCCCACTTTAGAAAACTTGAAAAAGAAGAGCAAATTAAATCCAAAGTAAGCAGAAAAATAGAAATAAAAAAGTTAGAGGAGTCATTAATGAAATTCAAGACATAAAATCAATAGAAGAAAAAAATTTAACCAAAAGCTGGTTCTTGAAAAGATCAATAAAATCACTAAGCTCTAGTCAAGATAACTAAAAACAAAGAGAGAAGACATCAATTACTATTATCAAAAAGGAATAGGGGATATCACTATATATTGCTTGAATATTAAAAGGATAACTAAAGAATACTATGAACAGACCAAGCGCGGTGGCTCACGCCTGTAATCCCAGCACTTTGGGAGGCCGAGGAGGGTGGCTCACAAGGTCAGGAGATCAAGACCATCCTGGCTAACACCGTGAAACCCCATCTCTACTAAAAACACACACACACACACACACACACACACACACACACAAATTAGCTGGGTGTGGTGGCGGGCCCCTGTAGTCCCAGCTACTCAGGAGGCTGAGGCAGAAGAACGGCGTGAACCCAGGAGGTGGAGCTTGCAGTGACCCGAGACTGGGCCACTGCACTCCAGCCTGGATGACAGAGTGAGACTCCATCTCAAAAAAAAAAAAAAAGAAGAGTACTATGAGCAACTTTATATGCACAAATTTGCTAACTTAGATGAAATGAACCAATTCCTTGAAAGACATAGTTTGCCAAAACTCACACAAGAAGAAATAGATAATCTGAATAGTCCCAGGTCTAGCAAAACATTGAATCAATTAATAACCTTCCAAAACAGAAAGCAGTAGGCCAGATGGGTTCACTAGTGAGTTCTACCAAACATTTAAAGAAGAAATTATACAAATTATCTTTAATATTTTTCAGAAGATATTAGCAGAAGGAATACAGCCTAATTCTTCCAATAAGACCATCATTACCAGATAAGATTATTACAAGAAAAGAAAACTAAAGAACAGACCAATATCTTTCATAAACATAAATGCAAAAATCCTCAAAATACATTAGCAAATAGAATCCAACAATGTATAAAAAATTACACACCACAATCAAGTGGGATTTATTGCATGCAGGCAAGACTGGTTCAACATCTGAAAATAAATTATGCAATCCATCACATTGACAGGCTAAAAAAGAAAAATTGCATGATCATATCAATAGACTGGGGGAAAAGCATTTGACAAAACCAATATAATAAAAATTCTCAGTAAAATAGAAATAAAGGGAAACTTTGTCAACTTGATAAAAACAATCTACAAAAATCCTACAGCTAACATCATACTTAATGATAAGAAACTGTAAACTTTTTCACTAATATCAAAAACAAACCAAGGATCCTCTCTCACCACTTCTTTGCAATATTGTGCTGGAATTCCTAGCTAATGCAATAAAACATGAAAAGCAGATAAAAAGTCTACAAATTGGAAAGTAAGAAATAAAATTGTCTTCATTCACAGATGACATGATCATCAATGTTGAAAATGCAAAATAAGAGTAAAAAACTCTCCTGGAACTAATAAGTGATTATACCAAGATTGCAGAATATGAAGAATAAGCTTAGTAAATTGTTTTCCTATATATAGCAATGAACAAGTGAAATTTTAATTTAACCATATAATACCAAATCTACATGCAGAAAACTACAAAACTGATGAACATCAAAGAACTAAGTAATTAAATATTTTATGTTCATGGATAGAAAAACTCAAGATTGTCAAGATGTTAGTTCTTCCCAATTTGATGAAGTTCCAATGCAATCTCAATAAAAATTCCAGGAAATTATTTCATGGATATTGAAAAACTAATTCTAAAATGTATATAGAGAGGGAAAAGACCCTAAATACCCAATGTAATATTGAAGGAGAAAAACAAAATTGGAGGACGAAGACAAGACCCAACTTAAAGACTTACAATAAAGCTGCAGTATTCTAGATAACATGGTATTGGTAAAAGAATAGATGAATAGATCAGTGAAACAGAGCAGGGAGTCCAGACGTAGACCCACACAAAGACATCAACTGACCTTTGACAAATGAGCAAAGGCAATACAATGAAAAAAAGATAGTCTTTTCAACAAATAATGCTGAAACAACTAGACATTCACATGCAAATAATAATAAAAGACAGATAAAATAAAAGATGTAGACCTTACACTCTTCACAAAAATTAACTCAAAATAGATCATGGATCTAAATGTAAAATGCAAAACTATAAAACTCCTTGAAGAAAACATAGGAGAAAATCTAAATTGCCTTGGCTTTGGCAATCACTTTTTAGATACAACAACAAAACATCTTCCATGAGAGAAATAATTGATAAGCTAGACTGTATGAAAATTGAAATTTTCTGCTCTACAAAAGGCAATGTCAAGAGAATGAGAAGATAAGCTAATACTAAAATAAAATATTTGCAAAAGATGTATCTGATTAAAAAACTTATCTAAAATATACAAAGGACACTTGAAAGTCATCAATAAGCAAATAAACAACCCAATTAAAAATGGTTTAAATATCTTAAGAAGCACCTCACCAAAGAAGATATACAGATGAAAAATGAACATATAAAAAGATGCTTCACATCATATCTTTAGGGAAACACAAATTAAAACAACAATGAAATACCACTACGCACTTATTAGAATGGCCAAATTTCAAAACAGTGATTATATCAATAGCTGATGAGGATGTGGAGCTACTGGAACTCTTATTCATTGCTGGTGGGAATGCAAAATAATATAGGCACTTTGAAAAACAATTTGGTGGTTTCTTACAAAACTAAGCATATTCTTACCACATGATCCAGCAATAATCATCCAGTAATAATGCTCCTTTATATCCAATCAAAGGAGCTGAAAACTTACACCCACAGAAGAATCTGCACATAGATGTTTACTGCTGCTTTACTTATAATTACCAAAACTTGGAAGCAATCGAGATGTCCTTCAATAGGTGATTATATCAATGAACCGTGGTACATCCAAACAATGGAATATTATACAGCCCTAAAAAGAAACGAGCTGCAAGCTATAAAAAACATGGAGGAATCTTAAATGCATATTACTAAGTGACAGAAGCCAATCTGAAAAGGCTACATATCACATGATTCCAACTATATTATATTATGGAAAAGGCAAAACTGTGGAGATAGTAAAAAGATCAGTGATTGGAACAGAGAGGCAGAACAGAGGATTTTCAGAATAGTGAAAATACTCTGTATGATATTATGATGGTGGATACATTGCATTATATATTTATCCCAACCCAAAGTATGTTCAACACCAAGAGTGAACCTTGATGTAAACTAAGGACTTTGGGTGACCATAATGCATCAATGTAGGTTTATCAATTGTAACAAACGTACCATACTGTTGGGTAATGTTGATAATAAGGAAGATTATGTATGTGTGTATGTATGTATGTGTGACAGCAGGGGGTATATGGGAAATCTCTGTACCTTCCTCGCAATTTTGCTACAAAACTAAAAGTGCTCTAAAAAAATAACACCTAAGAAAAGTAACTTGCACATTTTAAAATAAGCAATGAGTCAAAGAAGAAATCATGAGAAAAATTAGACAACACTTTCAGAAGAGTCTAAATAAGACCCAATTCACCAAAACTTATGAAATGTAGCTATACAGTGATAAAGAGAAATTATAGCTGCCAATGCCTGTAGTAAAAAAGAAAAAGGATTCTACATCAATCAATTCACTTCCCACCCTGAAACACTGGAGAAACAAGATCAAACTAAACCTAGAACTAGTAGAAGGATAGCAATAATAAAGATTAGTATAGATGGATAATAATAAAGTAAAAAACAGAAAAACAACAGAGAAAATCAATGATAGCAAAATTACATTGTTTGAAAAGATCAGTAAAATGCAAAACCTCAAGTTAGATGTGTGTTTAAAAACTGGGAAGATTCAAATTACTGAAATCAAAAATGAAAGGACCTCTCTACTGACCATACAGAACAAAAAAGAGGAAAAAGGAATCCTTTGAGCAATTGTAGGTTAACAAATTAGATAACAGATGAACAAATTACTAGAATGACATGAATTACTGGAACTACCTTCTCAAGAAATAGAAAATCTGAGAAATTAGTTTCTCAGATTAGACATATCATAAGTAGAGATTGGGTTAATTATTTTAAAACTTCTCACAAAGGAAAACCCCGGCCCAAATTGTTTTAGTGAATTATACCAAATATTTAAAAATTAATATAAATTATTCACAAATTTCTCCAAAATATAGAAGAAGAGAGACCACTTCCTACCTCATTCCATTAGGCCAAAGTTGCCATGATACAAAATAATACAAAGATATCACAAGAAAAAAAGCTACAGACTAATATTTTTTATAAGTATAGATGTAAAAATCTTCTACAAAATACTAGGAAACTAAATCTAACAACATATGCAAAGGATTAATTATACACTATGGTCAGGTGGATTTTATCTCAGGAAAACACGTTCATTCAACATCTGAAAACAATGTAATACACCATGTCAATAGAATAAAGGACAAAAACCATATGATCATCTCAATAGATACAGAAAAAAGCACTTGACAAAATCCAACAAAGTTTCGTGATAAGATCACTGAAAAAACTAGAAATATAAAAGAACTTCCTCACCTGGTAAGGGAATCTATTAAAAACCCACAGCTCACATCACACTTAATTGTGAAATAATCAAAGCTTTCCCCCTAAAATCAAGAATAAGACAGGATGTCTGTTCACATCACTTCTATTCAACATAGTACTGGAGGTTCCAGACAGAGCAATGAGATAAGAAAATAAAAAGCATGTGGCTGGGCAGGGTGGCTCATGGCTGTAATCCCAGCAATCTGGGAGACCAAAGTGCGTGGCTCACTTGAGACCAGGAGTTCGAGACCAGTCTGGGCAACATGAAGAAATCTCATCTCTACAAAAAATACAAAAATTAGCTGGGCATGGTGACACATGTCTGTAGTCCTAGCTTCTCAGGAGGCTGAGGTGGGAGGATTACTTGAGCCCTGAAGATAGAGGCTGTGGTGAGCCATGATCACACCACTGAATTTCAGCCTGGGCAACAGAGTGAGACCCTGTGTCAAAATAAACAAATAAATAAATAAACTAACAAATAGCAGGCATCATTATTGAAAGAAACATAAAATATCTGTTTGCAGATGACATGATTTTGTGTATAGAAAATTCTTAAAAATATACTTTTAAAAACTATTAGAACTAATAAAAATTCAACAAATTTGCATGATACAAGATGAACACAAAAATTATATTTTAATATACTAGCATAGAGCATGCAGAAGTGAAATTAAGAAACAATTCCATTTACCACAGCATCAAAAAGAAAAAAATGCATAAGAACAAATTTAATAAGTGCAAAAGTGATATACTGAAAACTAGGAAACATTTCTGAAGTAAGAATCTAAACAAATGGAACGATATCTCATGTTCATAGATCAGACATCCTATTGTTTAAATGGCAATACTCCCCAAATTAATCTGCAGATTCAACTCAATCCCTCTCTATCAAAAAAAGCAAGGAGTAGAACAATGTATATTGTTCTGTATTACTTATATTTCCATAAAGAATGTCTAGAAACATTCACAAGAAACTAATGAAAGCATTTATGTATCATAATAGTTGGGTTGAAACTGGATAAATGTGGGGCAGGTTGACTATATATATTGTTTTTCTTTTTACACCCTGCATTATTTTTTAAAAGTATGGGAGAGGAGCAGGATTGGAAATTATCTTGCCCCACTCTAGCAGTCTGTAAGATAGACAAGCCTGGATTCATAGAATCAGACTAGAATGACTGACAAATAAGCAGTGTGTGGAGGTAATCCTCATAGGATGTGTGGCCGCCCATTACTTTGAACTTCCAGAGAATATTACTAACATCCATTGAAACAGGAACAAGTAAAGGGGAGAAAGGCTAGCTTACTTAATCCAATGGGATTTTAACTTCTTTATCACTATCCCCACAGCAGCTGTAGCGAGGGCCCTCACACATCTCTCCAGTCTTCCTTTTCCTCACACTGTCACCTCTTATCCAAAGTCAGAGGAAACCTAGAGAAGGTAGTAGATTTTATCTATGAATGATCCTGCTGTGCAAAGGAGAAAAGATAGGGAAAGACTGGGAAAAAGAGCAGAGGAGTCAGAAGGAGTTCCTGCTGACTCTTTACCTAACTTGGGTACCACAGGGCAGGAGATAAACTTTGGAGAAGAGTGCAATTAAGCAAACGCCACTTCAGCTTTGATCTACATTTAATTTGTTCACATTTGAGGGTTCAGATCCAAAATGAAAAAGGGTTTTATGGCTGAATATTATTTCATTATATATGTAAACCACATTTCCTTTGTCTTTTTATCCACTGATAGACACTTAGTTTGATTCCATACCTTGGCTGTTGTGAATAGTGCTGTAATAAAAGTGGGAATACTGGTACCTCTTCAGCATACTGATTTCCTTTTTATGAGTATGTATACCCAGCAGTGGGATTGCTGGATCATATGGCAGTTCCATTTTCAGTTTATTGAGGAACTTCTACACTGTTTTCTATAGTTACTGTACTACTTTAGATTCCTCCCAACAGTGTACTGGCATTCCCCTATCTCCACATCCTCACTAGTATTTGTTACTTTTTGTCTTTTTGATAACAGCCATTCTAACTGGGGTAGGTAATATCTCCTAGTGATTTTCATTTGTATTTCCCTCACAATCAGTGATATTGAATAGTTTTTCATATACTTCTTGGCCATTTGTATATCTTCTTTTGAGAAATGTCCATTCAGATCTTTTGCCCATTTTTAATTGCATTGATTTTTTGTTTTTTTTTGCTATTGATTTGTTAGTTCCTTACACATGCTGGTTATTAATCTCTTGTCAGACCAATAGATTGTAAGTATTTTCTCACATTCTGTAGGTTGTCTTTTCACTTTATTGATTGTTTTCTTTGCTGTGCAAAAGCTTTTTAGCTTATTGTAATTCCATTTGTCTATTGTTGTGTTGTCTGTGCTTTTGAGATCTTACCCCCCAAAATCTTTGCTCAGACCAAAGTCCTGTAGCATTTTCCTAGTGTTTTAGTAGTTTCATAGTTTCAAGTCTTGTAATGAAGTCTTTAACCCATTGTTAGTTGATTTTTGCATGTGGTGGAAGATAAAGATCTAGTTTCATTTTTCTGCATATGAATATCCAGTTTATCCAGCACCATTTATTAAAGAGACTGTCCTTTCCCCCATGCATGTTCTTGATATCTTTGTCAAAAACCAACTGAGTGTAAGTGTATGGATTTACTTCTGGATTCTCTATTCTGTTGCATTCGTCTAGGTGTCTGTTTTATGCCAATATCATGCTGTTTGGGTTATTATAGCTGTGTAGTATAATTTGAAATCAGAGCTTGTGATGCTTCTAGCTTTCTTCTTTTTGCTCAGGATGATTTTAGCTATTCAGGGACATTTGTGGTTCTATACATATTTTATATTTTTTTTATTTCTGTGAAGAATGTCATTGGAATCAAGCTTGAGCTTGTATACAGATTTTAACAATATTAAGTCTCTCAACTCATGAGCATAAATTTCCACCTTATCATTTGCAGCAGGATGTGTAGAACTGGAGGTCATTATGTTAAGTGAAATAAGCCAGGCTCACAACAACAGATATCACATGTTCTCATTCTTATGTGGGAGCTATAAAAGGGGGTCTTATGGAGGTAGAGGGTAGACTGGGAAGGGAAGAGGGATGGGGAGATGAAGAGAAGTTGGTTACGGAGTACAAAGACATGGTTGGATAGAAGGAATACGTTCTAGTGTAAAAGAGTACAGTAGGCAAATTATAGTTAGCAATAATTTATTGCATTTTTAAAAATAGCTAGAAGAAAAGAACTTTAATATTCCCAAAACAAATAAAATATAAATGTTTGAGGTGAGGGATATCCCAATTACCCTGATTTGGTTATTATTCATTGTATACAGTTTTCAAAATATCACATGTACCCCCAAAATATGTAAAACTGTTATATACAAATAAATAACAAAACTAAAAATAACAGCTGTGCAAACATTTTTAAAAGGCTTGCTTTAAATGGGTTTCACATGAAAGTAGGAAAGGACTCTCTGGAGTCTTTACCATCTTTATGTGAGAAACACATTGGTCCCAGTGGTCTCTTTACCTTTCTTAGTCCATCCTTTCACTCTGTACATCTTTCTGAACTCAATGAATTATACACTATTGCTGCTTAATTGCTTTCAGAAATGGACCCCTGCACAGGTGGGAATGGATGTGTTCACATATGTCAGAGTGAGAATGGCACGGCCAGGTGTGCCTGTCATGCAGGGTACCAGCTGCCTGAAGATAAAAACATTTGTGAAGGTAGGAGACTGAAACTGAAGGATTAATTGTGTAATTGTTTGAAATTTTGTGGTAATTCAGTTTTGAATAGTCAGAACAGCTAGGAGAAAAGGTGTTTTCGTTTATTCTTAAAAAGGAACATTTAAATTCTTATTTGATCATTTGAAAGCTATTTTTATACCATAAAACTTCAGTGAAATTCTTAGTAACATTTTAAAAAATGACATAGGATAGTTCCAGACTTAATACGTTTTGTTTCTCATTCTGAAGTGAATTCCAGAATTAATATTTCAAAATCTTCTATAGCCACACAGGAAGTTTTTTATTATAGGCTACAGAAGGTGGGGATAACCTTTGAAAAGCAAGTATATGTAAATGAGTGTTTTCAGAAGTCAGGAATAATTAAAACAAAAAAGAAAGAACTCTATAAATACAAAATCACACATTTATCTTTCCTAGAACTAGCAAAACAGACATACTTTAATTCAAAGATGAAAGTGACAAATTCTTCCCTCACAAGAACTGATACATTAAGTAATTTCTCTGGGGCAGTCTTGTCAAAAGTCTCATTTTAATAACTTTTGAGAAATCACTTTTTTTATCATGATATTTTCATGAAATGAGAAACCATTTTTATCATGATATTTTCATGAAATGAGAAACTATTTATTTGGAGTAACTACAAAAGTAATTATGACTTATGGGACTGATAAAAATTACGAAAAATAATTAGTAATGGAAATTTGTGTTTTCATTTTTTTCTTTAGGTTGAAATTAAGATGATATTTTCTGTGGATTTTTTAAACACACTTTTCTAACAGAGAACATTTCTGCTTTGGTCCTCTGTTTCCACAGCACCTATCTAGCTCAGCACCTGGCACAGAATAGGATCATCTTAAATAAATATTTGAGGAAAACTGACAAATGTTTGCAGACATAGATATAGTTATGTATATTTATCTGTCTACTGACTTTCACACTCCTATTTTAACATCTGATACATTATTTATAGAAAATCTATCCTCAGAATTACTGCCTGCCTATTCTATTACAAATACATTAGAAGAATGAGTATTTCTCTTAAGCACCCTGGTGGGGATGATATGTAGTATGGAGGAAGAACCAGTTTAAAAAAATGTGAGACCTATCCCCTTAAAGGGAGGAAGGAGAGATCGCCTGAGCCACACAACTGAAGTTACACACACTGAATAGAATTGACTACTGATATCAGGAGAGAGAGGGTATCAGTGTCTAAGTGGCATTCCCTTGTGACAATCACATGTATAACAGAAACCATGGATTGCTAAATATGAAGGCCCCTTATCTGCCTTGCCCGTGGCCACACATACTAATGTAAATCAAAGAGATAGTCCTAAAGACAAATTACAATGACTTCTTCCCTGCATTATAAGGAATAGATTAGGCCCATTTTTGTTTCATTTTCTCTTTTTTTCTTATTAATAGATACTATTAGGTTCTAATAGAAGTGTTTGAGAGCATAAGACCAACACTAGTGGTAATGTCATAAGCAGTCAGCTTATTCACAAATACTCCTTTATATAAAGAATATGGAACCTATGTGGTACTTACTGTTACAGTGGATGTTGGGGGTGGGGGTCAAGTGGGAGCAGGTGCATTGGTCCATTATTGTAGTTTGTCAAAAAGTCATCATTATAGCTCCTAAGACATAGCTGTTGTGTCTGTCTTCCTGCAGATATAAATGAGTGTGCTGAAGGTCTTTCTTACTGTGGCCACTGCTGTGTAAACTCTATGGGATCTTTCACTTGTGCCTGCCAAACTGGCTTTGAGCTGGGAGCTGATAGAAAACAATGTTACAGTAATTGGCAACAGTCACAGCCCAGGTAATGTGTGGCATTTTACAGGTATTAAACATGAGTAATACATAAGAGAATTACATTGTGTGTCTTGCTAAAGCAGGAGCTCCTGAGAAGGATGTGGATGGAGGCTTAAAAATCCAACCCCTTTATTTTATAGGTGAGAAAACAGAGGCCCAGAGTCAATGGAGAATGGTTTGCAAAATAATCTGTAGTGTCATTAGCAAGGATTAAGCCTCAGGTTTTCTGACTTGGGGCTTTGTTGGGTTCATAGATCTTTGTGAAAATTCTGCCTTCCTTTATCAGTTCTGCCATGCAATATTTATTGAACACTAATAACTCCATTGTAAAACTCAAGAGAAAGGAAAGAGCAGGAGTGAAGGAACCACCGTACAAGAAGCAGCTCTAAGCTGCAATACCATGCCTCATGCATTGGATGTTCTAATGAGAATCTTCCACATTGGCCCTCCCCCTCCCTCCCTCATTTCCTTTCATTATGCCTATTGAGCAGCTGCTTCCTGCTTTGTCTTTTCTTCCACTGATTCATTTCCCTATCCCTTCTCTTCAAAACATTCATGATCCATATCATATAACCTTAGCATCTTCCTCCCTAGGCTCAGTTATACAACTAAATATATCCCTTTTTAGGAACATATTAAAATGTTAATATGCTGAGCGATTAGCTATAGTTGCTATTACAACTATGTTCTCCTCACACGTCATCCCCACTGGTCCACTACTTAATCTGTAGATGAGCACACTTTCTACTTTACTAAGCTTTAATCTATCTGATACAAATTTCCTCAAGTTCAATGTTTTCTACCTCAACATTTGCCATCCTCATCCATCTCTACTTCTGTCCTTTTCTAAATGGCAGATTTTTTTTTCTTATTTTTATGGCTGATTTCTCCATCTCTGTCTCAGTACATCAAGAGACAGAGGTCTTGGTACATCAACAATTCATTTTTCTTCTTCATCTTCTTCTTCATCTTCAGACTCTATCTTTCTCTCAGTGACTTCTTCCTTCTTTTTCCAGTTCACGACTATACTTTACCAGGTAAATTTTACTATGTTGAAAACATAACCATGCTAACTGGTTTTGCTTTAAATTCAGGATCATAAATCTTAAATGATTAAGCAGCATTGGTGGACAAACATACTGTCAGAATATGTCTACTTTTACCCTCATCAAAATAAGTGTTTAACATCTCTTCCAAAACTTTATATCACCCTCCTTTTGACCTTTGTCCTCATCTCATCTCTTAGGTCATCAAATAATAAATGCAAACTGTCATCCAAGGTAACAATTAAACCAAAGTCTCCCATAGATTCACATGGAAAGGCTTCAGTCCTATTAATATGAAGCAGGTAGCCCTATTACTATCAAAGGTCATCTTCTCCATGGAGCTTTGGGTTCCATTCTCTCTTCACATCTGAAGATCTTTGCTTTTGCAATTATTTCCCTCTTTTCTGAATTATCAGTTCTTTCTTCTGCATCATTTTCATCAGCATAACAACATGGCCAAGTATCTTCTGTCTTTAAAGTACTTTCACATGAGTCCATATTTCATAAAAGCTAATGTCTGACTCTATAGCCAATGTCTCCTCTTTCTCATCTTGCATTCTCTCATCAGCCCATACTAATCAAGTTTTCATCTCTACTCTGCCACTTGTCACCCATGACCTCTATGCTACCAGATTGGATGGTAGCTTCTTCAATTTTATCCTAATTGACCTCTCAGTAGTTTTCAACACTTCTGACTACCCTCAAGTCAGGCAAAGTTCCTGCCTTTATGGAACTTAAATTCCTACAGAGGAGATAGAAAACAGGAAATTAATCAAAGAAATGTATACTATTATCTTATATAGTGTTAATATGCAATGAGAAGATCCAAGAAAAAGGAGCAGTAATAACTAAGACCCTAAGGTAGGGCTGAGCTTGATGTTTCAGGAAACAGAAAACCAGTGTGGGCTGGAAAAGAATGAACAAGGTGTAGAGACAGTCAATGAGAGCAGTAGGCAGGGAAAGGGAACAATCAGATTATACTAGACTTGGCCATCGCAAGCGGTTTGAATTTTATTCCAAATGTGACAAGAAGGCATTGGGTAGTTTTGAACAAACAAAAGAGTTCAAGAAGAGCAAAAGAGTTCTTCTCAAAACACTCTTCACTTCTGTGTTACTACATTTTTCTAGTATTTCTTTCCATCTCTGGCCCTTCTCTCAATGTAAAATTTATCCAACTGCTCTCCTTTTAACTACATATGAATATACCAAACTATTCCGCATCACTACCTGCATGACTGGTAGGCATTTCCCACTTGGTAGAACCAAAACAGAAATGCTGATTTTGAGTCCGAGTCCCAAAGAGCCTTTTCTCAGTTCTTCACATATTAATCAATCATCCATTTAGTGACAAAGTCAAGAACTCAGTGACAGAAAATTAATAAGTGACTGAACTAGGATTTGACCTAGAGTCTTCCTGCCTCAGATATAATATCCTTTCAGCTTCATCATGTGTTTATATACGTTATGTCTCTTTATTAGTTTTAATGAAGGAACAAATAAAGATGGTGATATATAAAATAAATATTTAAGCTTTCTTACCTGAGCTCTTTCATGAAGAGATATTATTAGAGTAACTAAATTCCTCATTCTTCCTTCCGACATAAAATTCTATGTGTCTTTAATTCTACGCTCCTTAAGGTCTGTTGGTATATTTTTATTGCTTAAAGACTACATTTTTGCTACAGTGATATTTGCCTTTTAAAGAGCAAACTAAATAAGATGGGAGAGAAATTTGACTACTAATTAAGATACAACTTCCTCTGAAGTCAGGCTTTTTTTTTTAATGCCCTAAGGAGTCCTTTCAGGCCGAGAAAAGTGTGGAAGGATTTTTCTTTGCCTTAAGTATTTTGGCTTTAATGTGACCAGAGGTTTAGGGGATGAGTATATTTTACAAGTGTATGAAATTAAACCTCTTGTAATCTGACTGGTGCTTCCTCAGTTATCAGGAAAGAGGGGGTCATTATTGATAAGTTAGGAGGTACATACAAGTTTTCTGTAGAATTTACTTGGGAAAGAAATTTGCTCTCAAGTTGAATACATTTGGTAGAAGTTTATTTTTACATTTATTTTCCTTCTGTGAATATTTGGCTAAGCTCTTTCTGCAGTCCTCACCAGACCTATATTTACTAACTGAAATACAAACCTTTCCTAGTGAAAACTGGTCTTTTGACTTGTTTCAAAACCTATAGATGGAATAAGTCCTTTTAGACCATGATGTCATATATATATATATATATATATATATATATATATATATATATATATATTTTTTTTTTTTTTTTTTTTTGAGACGGAGTCTCCCACTGTTGCCCAGGCTGGAGTGTGGTGGTACAATCTCTGCTCACTGCAAGCTCCGCCTCCCGGGTTCACGCCATTCTCCTGCCTCAGCCTCCAGAGTAGCTGGGACTACAGGCACCCACCACCACGCCCGGCTAATTATTTGTATTTTTAGAAGAGACGGGGTTTTACTGTGTTAGCCAGGATGGTCTCGATCTCCTGACCTTGTGATCCACCCGCCTTGGCCTCCCAAAGTGCTGGGATTACAGACGTGAGCCACTGCGCCCAGCCGAGTATGATGATATTTAACAATGAATTATGTGCCCATCATCTAAAGTACGTTTTGAAATGATGCTTTTTTCTTTTTTAGAGAACAGTGTTTTATATTTATGTAGTTTTTTCTCAACAGGTCTCAAAACACTTTGCAGTATAACCATTGAATCTTCATAGTGTACTATGAATTAGCTATCATTGTCTTATAATTAGAAATTGGAAAATTTGACATACAGAACACTTCCTTCAAATTACCAAGCAATATGTAATATAGTTTAACTATTTCACACATATTTAATGTACATCTTATCTAGCAAGCAAACAATATATTTGCTACTTATAAAAATGTTTTAAGTATGATTTCTAAAGTACTATAATAAAAACATTTTTTATCATCTGAATCAAAGAATCAAAATCTCAGCTTGCATCTGGTAGGTAGTTATGGATCTGAGTTTGCACTTTTTTTAGTTCCATATATCTTTAAAGAAGTGACCATGGTATCATTTATATTCAAATCCAATTACCACCAGCAGTCTAAAGCTGTATTGATGCAATATCACTGGAAAAGAGCATGAATAAGAGAAGCCTATGTAAAAATTGTCAAATGGATACTTTCACCTCTCTTCCCCCCTGAAAAAATCAATTAATATTAGAAATTTATTATAGTTTTCAGTATTTTAAATATAACCTAATCCAGGGATCAAAACTCTAACACCAACACAAGACAGGCAATAAATATAAATGTGTAAGACAGGCTAAGCATAAAAGATAGGAAATTGTAAGGACTGTTTTGAACTGGAGAGGGAGTTTTGGGCCTAGAGAGGACAGCTATTGCTTGATTGCTTGCCTCCAGCTAACTGTCACCTAGAGGGAGTGTGATGCCAGTGTACTAGACCCACTGATTTATTCAACAAGTGCTTACTGAATACCTACCATGTGCTAGGTGCTGTTCCTAACACTATAGATACAATGATAAACAAGTCAGGAAAAGTTCCTGCCTTTATGGAACTTAAATTCCTATAGAGGAGATAGAAAACAGGAAATTAATCAAAGAAATGTATACTATCACCTTATATAGTGTTAATATACAATGAGAAGATCCAAGAAAAAGGAGCAGTAATAACTAAGACCCTAAGGTAGGGCTGAGCTTGATGTTTTAGGAAACAGAAAACCAGTGTAGGCTGGAAAAGAGTGAACAAGGTGTAGAGACAGTCAATGAGAGCAGTAGGCAGGGAAAGGGAAGAATCAGACTTGGCCGTCGCAAGGGGTTTGGATTTTATTCCAAATGTGACGAGAAGGCATTGGGTAGTTTTGAACAAACAGTAATATCATATGATTTTCACTGTTTAAGGACTACTGTGGCTACTCCCTAGGGAATGGACAGTAGGGAGTGTCTGTAAAAGCAAGATTAGAGTCATTCAGGTGAGCTGTGGTGGTGGCTTTAATTAAGCTAGTAGCAGTAGATTTGAGATTTATTTTGTAGACACAGCTGAGATGAATTCCTAATGTGGATGTGAGGAAAAGAAAAATCAAGAATAATTCTTGGTTTGGGGCTTTAGGAAACAGGTGAATCCGAATGTCTTTTACCAAAATGTGGAGTCCAATAGAAGAACAGGTTTGGAGGTGAGATATAGGGTATGTTTAAATCATAACTTCTATTTCTGCTGTGTGAAGTTTAAGGAGCCAAGTAGAAATAACATGTAGGTAGTTTCTATCTATTTCCTAACTAAATAGAAAATTCTAGAAGTTTATGGTGGTCAGAGCTTGAGTGAGCAGCTTGTCAAGATGTAAATGTCAGTATTTAAGCCATGAGCAAGAATGGGGTCACTTACAAAGGGAGGGTGTCTGGAGGAGTAAGCAGGAGGAAACTGAGACTGTAGACTCCAACATTAAGTAACTAAAATGTGACACAGAGACAGGAAAGACTGAAGAAGAATGTCCAGTAAGGTTTAAGGACAACTTGGATAATGTGATTTTCTGAAGAATAAAATAAAAAAAAGTTGGGAGAAGTAAATGGTCAATGGTATCAAGTGCTGCTAAGGATTAGGCAATGTGGCAGTAAATGGAGAACAATGTGGAATCTAGGGAGGGTTATCTTGCCTCTTAATTTATTTTTTACTTAGACAGTAAAATTAACATGTTCAGTATATAATCATATCAATTTTAATTGTAAATATATAGATTTCTGTAACCACCATTGGAATCATGATTAAGAATAGTTTTGTCAACCCCAGAAAACTCCCTGGTGCTACCCTTGGCTTGTCACTTATTCCCCGTCTCTAACCTTTGACATCTACTTGATGTGTTCTCCCTCACTGGAATTTTCTTTTCTTGGGAATGTCATATAAATGGAATTAAACTGTGTGTATCCTTTTATTCAACATAATGCCATTAAGATTCAGCCAAGTTGTTGCTCATATGAAGAGTTCTATTCTTTGATGAGTATGGATATACTATAGTTGGTTTATTATTCACCCTTTGAAGGACATTTAAGTTGTTTCCAGGTTTTGGCAATTATGAAGAGAGCTGCTATAAACATTTGTATACAGGTTTTTATATGAACATAGTTTTAAAAAAGATTTTTCTCTTCAGTAAAAACCTAGGGCTGGAATCACAAGGTCATATGATAGGTGTATATTTAAGTTTATAAGAAACTCCCAAGCTATCTTTTGGAATGGATGCAACATGGGTTATTGGCTTTAAAAAAAAAATAGGAGACCTTTAATTTGTGATGAAATGGTGGAAATCCTAATATTTTCTTAACTTTTGTAACACCTTGATAATCAAATCCCATATAACTGCAGGCCACTAGTTTCCAAACCTTAGTGCAACTCAATCCCTCTGTTAACAGTGGGAAAAATACTGAGGATCAGAGATTTAAAATAATTGAAGATTACACAGCTGTAAAGTGTCAGATCTTCCAACTTTAAATGTTGTGCCTTTTTCTATTATGTCACACTAACTTTTCTTAGGAAAAATATTACACCACATTTCAGTGAAATAGATTACATGCTTGTCAAATTATTTTCTCTTTTTCTTTCCTTTTTTTTTTTTTTTTTTTTTTTTGATAGGGGCTTGTTCTGTCACCCAGGCTAGAGTGCAATGGCAAGATCACAGCTTACTGTAGCCTTGATCTCCCCAGCTCCAGCAACCCTCCCACCTCTCAGCTTGCTGAGTAGCTGGGACTACAAGAACGTGCCACCACGCCCAACTAATTTTTTATATTTTTTTCTAGAGACAGGGTTTCACTATATTACCCAAGCTTGTCTCAAACTCCTGGGCTCTAGTGATCTGCACACCTTGGCCTCCCAAAGTGCTGGGATTAGAGGTGTGAGCCACCAGGCCTAGCTATTTTCTCTTTACAAATGATATTATATAGGAAAACATCTCTGAATTAGAAAGCTTTGATTCTTACCAGCCCTGCTACCTTAGGCAAGTCTTTTATCTTTTCTGAACCTCAGTTTTCTGATCCTAAGCAAAAATCATGTTACTTTTATGACTTATAATATTTAGATTAATAAGCACATATGATACCTTGCATAATATAGACTGGCTTTTACAACCAACAGTGCCGTAAATGTTATTGAAGTGATTTCATGTCAATTGACCTTACTTTTCTCTCTAAGCAATGATGGAGATTAATTTGATAGACTCTAAGATACCACATATGGTTCATAAATAGGTAAAAATGTCTCTTTATAAGAATGGCAATAGCAAGCATATGTCAGAAAAAAACTTCAATTCTGTATCAGAAAGATCTGTGTGTCCCTGTCACCACAACCAGAGACATCATTTGAAATAGGTTTCTCTGAAGAGTATATGTTAATGTATCAAGAAAAATATCAGTTCCCTTCACTAATCTTTCCTTTAGCTTTCTAATTTTGCTTAGTCCTAAACTAGCTGTTTCTAAACCCAAAGGGGTTCTTATTTTTAACAATAAATTGATTAGCATAATCCTTCTTTTGTTTATTCAATCATTGGAAACCTATTTTGAACATCTGTTATGAGCTGGGGAGTGCAAGATGATGATGGCGCAGTGGGCTGGGCACAATGACAGGGATGTGCCCTGGGTGCTTGGGAGCATCTGAGGCTGCTCTGTGCCCTGGACTGGCTGCTGGGGAGTAGGCCGGATGATTTCTGGAACTGTAGTGGATGTCTAGGCAGTTTATATGGTGACATATGCTTTCAAGGAGTGTTACAATCCCAAAGACTCTTGTCTTGTTTTTTTTTTTTTTTTTCCTCCAGCTTTTTTTCTTCTAAATGATTCATAAGTTAAGACTTAGAGGAAATGAATCAATGTAGACACTCTCAGTAAGAGGGGGTGTGTTCAAACAACATAAATAAAGACCCATAGACCTTCTGTGGTAAAAATGGCATTCAGAGTATCTAAAGTCCATATTTTAACATGGATTCTAAACATTTTTATAATTCTTATTTTGTCACTTAGAAAATGAGAGACTATAATGCCTGTGTGCTCAGGACAATTGGCATTCATCTGCTGAGGCTCAGGCCCACCAATATGCCTGAAATTAGTAGCATGTACCAGCCAAATTGATTTTCACAGTAATAATTTGTTTATGTAATAAGTGATTCTCGTATAAATCAAAGCTCATTAGTGCATCAACATGACCCTAGTTACATATGATCAACTAAATCATTGGGTTTATGTTTACACCTTTGCTCCAAGGTTATTTTTTAACAGTATTTTCATGTGCTTATAGACCGTAAAAAGGACGCATAATAACATACTATTAGCTCAAGAACAGGAATGTCAGCTAGCAAACAACCTATTTGATTTCTGATTATTGATTTAATATATATGTATATATATTACATCTATTATATCCTGAAAATACTGAGAATTCCCAAAACATGTTTCCTTTAAGGTAAGTGTTTAATAACCAGTGGTGTATTCATCATTACCTTTCTGTATCACTCAACATTATTTATATGTTTATTAGTATATAATGTGGTATATAGGCATTTACAATGCTTAATAACCCTCAGACTTTTACTTTTATGTGTATAGAGTGTTGATGGATTTCTAATAAAGTTTGTCATCCTCTCAACAGAGAGAATGTGTCCGTTACTGACATATATTCAGGTTTGTCTGTTATGCTAATAATCCTCTTTTGCTCATTTTGGAAAGGGATTGAATTGGAAATTGTCAATAGCTGTGAAAAGAACAATAGTGTTTGTTCCCATCACCGTGAACATGAAATTGGTGCTCCCCGTTGTTCCTGTAACCATGGACACCAGCTTGATTCTGATGAGAAAACATGCATAGGTAATGTTTGGTAAATGCCATTTCATTCAAAAGTTGCTCTGGATTCATTTAGCCCTTTAATCTGTAGTACTTACGGCTGTACTGTGAGCCACATCTCTCAAACTGTAAAGACAAATAAATTGAAGAGTGTCTCTGGCTACTGAATAAATGTAAAAGAAGGGTTACCTGTCAGAAGACAACATTACATTTAGATATTTACCTTGAAGTTAAAGGAGATTTAAAACACTTTAATGAAATATATGCCCTTAATAGATTTATTTCAGGAAAATATTCCATGATCTATCCAACTATGTGATGTAATGTGTAATTCCAACAACAAATGCTGTCACATACCTCAGTTCTCTACCTCAAGCAGAAACGAAATTATTTGCACTGGTTTTCAACTTGATAATGTTTGGGATGTATGTTCAACTTTGATATGACAAGTAGCTATATTCTAAAAGACAACTTAAAAAAATTCATTCTTTGGAATTCCCAGCTCAAATCCATTTTTAATTGCTAATTTTCTCAACATATTATTGGAGTTTATATCATTTGAGACAATGAAGAAACTAAAATTCCACCCTAGTTTTGCTTCATAATGAAACATTCCTGAGAAAAAGGAGTATCTACTATAAATAGGAATAGCAAGTATCAAACTACATTACTATGTGCCCTGGTTCTGAGAACACTTCCAAGTCCCTAAGGCAGTGATTTGTCATCATTCAAGAATTATGACACCTTATTTGCTTGTTTTCTTTTGTTATGCTTAATATTTCCTCCGTTAAAAATTACAATACAAAATCTTTTGACCATTTCATACTACTCAATATGGTTAGATAGAGACAATTTGAAGTATGAAAAACTCAATGGTTTAAATATTTAGGACATTTTACTTTGGCAGTATGATGACACAGAATGAAACTCAAGAAATTTTGCAGTATTCTGGTTTTATAAATTCAAAACAATGCCATTGTATTTATTTATGCAACATTGCTTTCAATATTGTTCTCAGAATCTACAGTGGGTAACATATTGAAGCCAGTTGCTTTCCTCACCTCTTATTATTTAATGAAAAATATGCTTACTTTTATTTCCTACCTTGATAAGATTTGTAACCATAGAAAAAATTAAGGGCTTTCTTCCTTGATTGCTTCTTTTTTCCCTCCCTCTTTTCCTTCCTTCTATCTCTCTGTTTGTTCCTCTTTTGAGTATTGATAAGAGAAACTGGAATTTTGCCAAACTGTTTCTTTGCGACTTAAATTTGGTGTTTTCTTTATTTTTTGAAAAATACCATTCAGTAAAGTTCTTATTTACAGCTAGAAAAAAATAGCATCTGCCAGGGTCAAAATGTAGAAAAGTGCATATTTATGAAATTTCAGCCGTCAGTATGACAATGTTATATTGTTTATGGTTCAAGTTAATTTCATTTTTCCGACAAGAAAAAGAAAATGCAAGCCAAGCACTGAGTCTCATGCCTGTAATCCTGGCACTTTTGGGGGCTGAAGTGGGAGGATTGCTTGAGTCCAGGAGTTTGGGACCAGCCTGAGCAACTTCAAGAGACTCCATCTCTATAAAATATTTAAAAAATAACCAGGCATGGTGGTGCACTCCCAGCTACTTGGGAGACTGAAGTGAGAGGATCGCTCTAGCCCAGGATATTGAGGCTGCAGTGAGCTATGATTGTACCACTGCACTCCAGCCTGGATGACAGGGCAAGACCCTGTCTCAAAAATAAGTAAATAAATAATTCAATTTCATTTCATCTAAAACATTATTTTTTAGGCTTTTTAAAAGTTTTTCAGATTTTTAAAAAGTCTTCTCAGATACCACCAAAGACTTCGAGCATATCGGTCTCAAGATGCCCTGTTCTCAAATAGCAAGGAGCAACATTGCATTACACAATTGGAAAACAAGTCCCTCAGTCTATCATTTAGTGATCCATTTTGGATTCTTTTTCTATTAACATTCCTCTGGGGCTATTTCTAGTTTGTCCCATGTATACCATCCTCATTTGGAACTCATCTGAAACCCCGTTCTTCCTACATCACAAGCCTTTCTTAAAATGTCTTGCCACTTCAACTGTTAAATCACCTGTTTTCTAAATTTCTTTTCAAATTTTATTTTGTTAGATCTTTGCTTGCTACTGTAAATAGGAATAGCAAGTATTAAACTACGTTACTATGTGTCCTGATTCTGAAAATACTTCCAAGTTCCTAAAGCAGTGATTTGTCATCATTCAGGAATTATGATACCTTATTTGCTTGTTTTTGTTATGCTTAATATTTCCTCAATATTCTTTAATATTTCCTTTTCTTTTGTTATGCTTAATTTTCCCTTTTAATTGTCCTCATCTCTGATGATCATATTTTTCCTAAATTGGCCAATATGCCAAATATTTTACCATTGTACCCAAATTAATCCATACATAAAAATTTAGCCTTAATCAAAAGTAGAGGACCAATTGCAGCCAGGCAAAACACTGAAACATTTCAGCTCTGATTTCAGAAAAGCATCAAAAGTGAAAAACTTGATCTTCTGTATCTCTTCCCCATACATAGTCACTGAATAAGGTTAAATAATAAATATTTTCTAATAACTGGCCAATTGTTAAATTTAGTGACTTCATTGCTAGTCAGACACTTGCATTTTATATACCTGTCTTTCAAATTGTGTTAACACATCTCTAGGTTTTAGCCCTAATAAGTTTTTGCCTTTGGATAGGTTTAATTAACTATGTGCTAACTGGCTGACTTATTTTTACATTTTTTGTACATTCGCATATATATTTTTTCAAAGTTGATACTAATATATGATAAAAAGAAAATCCTTTGATTTCCTTCATGCATGACTGTTTTTTATGAAGCAGCTGTGACATTAATCTGTTCTCAGACAAATAAGTAAAATATGTATATGTACATTCCAAGTGAATAATTGCCTTTACACTAGTGAATAATTGGTCTTTAGAAATGAGTAGTTTTTTTTGTTTTTTGAGACAGGGTCTCGCCCTGTCACCCAGGCTGGAGTGCAGGTGGTACAATCACGGCTCACTGCAACCTCGAACTTCTCAGCTCAAGCAATCCTCCCACCTCAGTCTCCCAAAGTGCTGGGATTATAGGCGTGAGCTATTATGCCCAGCCTTGAAAATGAATTTTTTTAAAAGTTTTTTATTCTCTACATCATACTATTTAATCAGTAGGATTAATAAAAGGAAGGTTTAATACTAGAAAGGAAAAAATATCATTTAGAATTTTGTGAGTAGTTCTGCTTTTGACATTTTGTGGGAAAAAGAATGTTTTATGTCTAAATGACCTTCATTTAGATATTTTATGGTGACCCTTCACCTTGATTGATTGTATTTTCTTTCCTTTCTTTCTTTTGTCTTCATTTTCTTGAGTTGATACCCTTTCCAGGGTTAATTGAGACATTGACCCTTTTTATCTGTGGCTGCTTACGTAGTTATGGCATAGTAGGATTTTGTAAACTCAGCACTGACAGGCCATCCACCTTAACAGCTCAACAACAGAGGGGCTTGAATTGAACCAAGGCCTAGAGCCAAAAAAAACCCTGACCAAATAATTCCCAGGTGTTCGGCCTAAGGAAAGCAGGGCAAAGTGTCCGTTGCTACTTCCTTGGCCAATTATGTTAGAAATGATCGCCTCAAAACTCAGGTGAAATAGGTTATCCTTTGGCTGAAAACTTACAATTTGACATCTTCTGGTGCGTTTCTATTTTCCCCAGGGCAGTTATATCTTAATAAGAAGCACTCAGGATTGTAGAATTCTGAAATAACAGTGCTAAAGAAGGCTTACAGATCCTTACTTAGAAAACTGCTCACCTAACAGGACATTTCAGGGTAATGATGTCACAGATGGAATAAAAAACCCCAGACCTCACTCATCCCAGTCACAGTATAATCTAAATATTCAAACAAATGCTCTGAAATGGTCTATAATTTAAAACATAATACTTAAAATAAGTCTTCTGCCCTCTCTCAGAACTGTAGTTGCCACTTGTCTTCCCAGTCAGGCAGTTGGGAACACTTGCTTGCGAACACTCTTTGATCTGAAGTTCTGGAAGAACAAACATGTTATGGAGTCTAAGACTGTCTCCTCTTTGCAGCTGTCAAATGTTCACCAAATGGAATTTTTTGGCTCTTTTTTCTTAGGCTGTTTTTTTGTTCTTCAACTTCTCTGTTTATTCAGTCCAATTACTGTTTAAACTAGAAAAATAGCAGAGATCACTTTTCCTATGCCTATAAATGCATTTGGAGATTATTTACATTCTTTTAAAATAAATAACAGGCATAGAAGAAGCATGAAGAAACATAAACCAAAAGTAGGTCTCCTTATTTTTGTGTTAAGGTTTCTTCGCTGTTTGTATTACATGGCCTGAGAAATAGAAAATGATTAGTAAAACAGTTTTAATTTAGAAGTGTAGCTTATCAGTGCTTCTATAGGGTCGTTAAATTCCTATCTCTGCAATAACAGCAGTGTTCTTTCCCCCTTCAGATCTTGACGAATGTGAGAATGGAGAAGCCTGCTGTGCCCAGCTCTGCATCAACTATTTAGGAGGCTACAAATGCAGATGTCAGGAAGGCTTTCAGATCACTTCCAATGGTTGTGAATGTGATGGTAAATTCCTGAGATTTAACAAGTAATAATTGATGTGACAGGGCAATAAAGGAAGAGAAATGTCTGAGGCAGAGGGCTAGGGTGGGCAAGGGAAGGCTTTCACACTAAAGAGACTTGACTTTCTATGTGGTTCTACCATTTACTATCGTATAATAAACTTGGACGACTTTAACTGCAATGAACCTTAGCTGCTCATCAGTAAAGTGATGACAATAATAGGATTAGTGGGGAAATTAAGGAAAGTAATAAATGTAAAGTGCCTAGTGCAATGGCTGACATAGAAAAATAACTAAAAGTAGCTATTATTGTTATCATATTTATTGGTCCATAATCACTTTCACACAATTTAATGTATATTAAAGGCAAATGAGAGATTCTGAAAGGCACACTGTCAAAGGAACCACCCATGGCAAACTTGACTGGAATGAGAAAGCTGGTTACTGGAAGACATTTTGAATGAGTTTTTTTTGTTTGTTTGTTTGTTTTTTTTTTTAGTTAGAGAGCAAAAGGACCATCAGTTCACAAGCCACAGTCTAAATCTGTACCAGAATCCCATACATATCTGATATTAATATAGCTAATGCAAGTTTTAAAATGAGTCATTTACAATTTCTTAACTTACATGTTAAAATTAGTTCACTTACCTTTCAGGTGATTTTTTGCTTGTATATATTTTTTTTTGATATAAGAGTTTGAATTTAGTGAGTAGAGCTTGTTGACTTTGTTTATACAGTTAGGAATAGCTCATATAACCATTGCTGTAATTTAAAAGTTTACCTTAAATATTTAATCTTTAAATTTTCATTTAGTATTATTATTACCATTATTTTGAACCAAATTTTTCTTAACATCAAAGATTAGAAGATTGATATCTATTCTAATAACAATCAACTTATATAAGACTGTAATGCCTCAGAGAAATTAGTTTTTCTTTGCTTAAAGAAACACATTTCAGAATTCTGTCAAAGATGATAGATAGCCAAGCTCCCCCAACCTTGCAATGAAGATAACAGCAATGAACACACAACTATGATATCTATATATACTAAACACGGTAGCGTATATTGCCATTTACCACATTACATCCAATTAACAGAGCCAAAAACATTTTTAAAATTTCATGTACCATCTGCTCTTAAGCAGAATGAGCCAAGAGATGATTGTATGGCATGAACATACATACTTGCATACACGCATGCAAATGGAAAAGGCATCAACAATCTGAGGTAAAGCTTAGAAGCTCATACATGAACTTATAGTATTGTGAACATATTGACCAAAGTCTGGACTCAGACTTGGTCATAAACTAGTAAGTTGCATGCAATCAAGGCCTAAAATTCTTTCTTCTCTAAAATTGTCCACAAAGCTTGTACTGACTTGTACCTAGAATAAGTTTTCTATCATATATATTGAATAATTCGAGAGTGAATGAACATTCTACAAAAGGGTACACAGCCTGAGACCACTGAATTAATTAATTATTTAATTATTTATTTATTTATTTTTGAGAAGGAGTCTCGCTCTGTCGCCCTGGCTGGAGTGCAGTGGCGGGATCTCGGCTCACTGCAAGCTCCGCCTCCTGGGTTCACGCCATTCTCCTGCCTCAGCCTCCCAAGTAGCTGGGACTACAGGCACCTGCTACCACGCCCGGCTAATTTTTTGTATTTTTTAGTAGAGACGGGGTTTCACCGTGTTAGCCAGGATGGTCTCGATCTCCTGACCTCGTGATCTGCCCGCCTCGGCCTCCCAAAGTGCTGGGATTACAGGCGTGAGCCACCACACCCGGCCTGAATTTATTTTAAGTTTTTCATCTAAACCTCACAAACAAGGTCTCAGAAATACCTTGTCTGTGTAGATGAAGTAGAGTAAACTTGAAAATGAGTGAAATAAAAATAATTGGCCAAGTGTACTTGAGAAAGAATGTGGGGGCTATGCTTGCTTTCTATGTGGCAGTACATTGTTATTGTTTAATAAAGGTCACAAGAGGAACACCAATATGTCTATTATTTCATAAGATCTATCTTATCTCTCAATGCCTAAAAGCAGATATTGTTTAAATTTTCTTAGATGTGGATGAGTGTCTGGATGTCAGTATAGTCTGTGACCAACTACATTAATTCTGTGGGAACATACGAATGTAGTTGTGAAGAAGGCTACAGAATTGGAAATGACAGAAAAACTTACCCCTGTAAGTCACTGAAGAATTTTATTGTATTAATATATTTTCTAAACTACTTCCAGCCTCATCTTGTTCTTCAGGAGCAATGGAGGCCACATATTTCTTAACTCAACCTGCCTTCCCCTTTCTGTCTTCACAGACTAAGATCTTTCCTTATTTTCTTTTGTTCTCTCTGCTACAGTTTTAACTTTGTGCTGGCAGCTTCTCACCTTCATTTACAATAGACTTTTGAAATGGCCATCTCAAAGCATTTTACCTTTCTGTTACCCCCTGCCTTGGCTGTCTAGTTCAAACTCTCTCATTTCTCTATCAACCTTTGCACAGTACTTCCTTCTTTTAACCAAGTTGAAACCTCGCATTTTCTTCTATGGCCTTAGCTTTAGATGATGATGAGCTAGAGGAAGAAGAAGAGGAATGAGAAGTTGTGAGGTTTCCAGGTCTTCTATTCAAGAGCCCACCTCAACAGCTTCATTATGTTGCTACTTTTCTGCCTCCCACCTACAAAGATGAAGAAGATGAGGAGGAAGAGGAAAAAGATATTCATAGAGAACTGACTGCTTTGCACAATTTTGGTGTGTAAAAGAATTTACCTTACTATACTTACTTCTATTTTTAGATAATTTACTACATTTTTGTAGACAATTTTACTATCAATATTTAATGCCATCATATGTTTTAACATGAAGTTTGCAAGAAAAGTAGGGCCAAAGTCACTTCTTCAGAGCTTCCTATGAAATCCATCATCTTTTGTCTTTTTTATTTCCTTTTGTACAATAAAGGAGTGCTGTGTAGGTACTTGTAGAAGTGGGAGTGCAGTGTGGAGGGGTGTTCTTGAAGTTAATACAGGGAAATGGAGCAGAAAAATATCTTTAAATTAGCATAATGGGGAGAAAGATTGAAATCTTATAATTCTATTAAAATTTCACTAGAAATCACCTTAGATAGTTAAAATTTACCTTAAATAGCCCTAAAATGTAGTTCCTTTCTAGGTTTTAAAATGCAGAGAACTAATTGGTTAATATGCTTAAATGGACCAGAAAATCTTCAAAATGTGAGCAGTTTTTCTTATATATCTAAACAACAGAACTCAAGCGTCGACTTCTGATCAAAGTAAATCTCTATCAAAAGTAACTGTTTGCAGCCAGTCCACTGCTTCTTTTTTTTCCTTTGTAAAACAGAGCTGTTCTTTTTATTCTCCCTCTATTTATTGTATTTTAACAATATCAAAGCTTGATGATTGCTTTAGAATGTATTCAGAAAAATAGAAATATTTTTACGCAGTGGTCAAATCATAATATCATCAATAAGTGTCTCTATATAAAAATAGAAGTACTTTAATGTTTCTTAATTAAACTCCTGATGCTTTGGCTAATCAAAGTCAGAAGAGAAATAGTTGGGGGCGGCAACAACAACAGTCAGAACTTGAGTTGCCAAGATCTGCAAAGAAGAGAAGACCAGACAAGGAGGATGGTCTCAGATGCTTTTCTCCTCAAGCCATTTGCCAATTAATGGGTTGTGCCAGGAATCTGAAAGATAGCTGCTAGGAGCTTGAAGAGTGAAGCACATTTATCAGCAGTTTCATGATGTTGGGGAGGCAGAACATGGAGCTCAGGCCTGCCAAAGGAGAGAAGCCTTGGTAAATATGCCAAGTTTTCAATTAGGGCATCTTAAAGTCCCTACCCTAGAAACAGGGACAAAAGTTAAAATGGAATGAGCCTTAAACAACTGAATACACATCTCTCCACCTTTATTCTATATGATAATTTCCCTCAAAAACAGAATGGATAAATAAATACATTGTGGTACATTAATACAATGGAATACTGTATAACCATAAAAAATAAACTCTCGCATACACAATGTGTATGATCTCACATACATTATATTGAATGAAAGAAGCTTGACACCAAAGAGTACATACTTTTCAATTCTACCTATAAAAAGTTCAAAAAAGGGAAAATAATCTGTGGTGATAGAGATCACCACGATGCTTAATTTATGAAATTAATGATTGAAAATTATTAAGTCACTTTTGAGATTTTGGATTGCTAGTAATATTATGTACCTTGATCTGGGTGGCATTTACATGAGTTATTTACAATGTGAAAAGAAGTTTGAAGTATACAGTTTAGATTTGTGTACACTTCTCTGTGTATTAAATTTTAATAAAAAGATTTACTCAGAAAACAAAAATACACATAAAAAATTCTGAAAGAAAAAGCATCAAAATTTCAGGAACATTGAATTTTTTTTGGTCTCAAATCAATGATAATTTCTTTTTTAAAAAAGAAATTCCTAAAGATTCTAAGTATTCTTAGGGACAATATTCTAATGTAATAATTGGAAAAAGTAAAATAAGCTTTATTTTAAAAGCTATATCTTGCTGTTGTCCTTTTTAAAGATTCTTTAGGAACTATGCTCAAAGATCTTTTTTTTTTTTTTTTTTTAGGAAATTAAGGGTTTTATTTTGATTTTTGGTTACGTAGTCAATTATGGACGAACTAAGATGGTATCACATTACAGTCTGTTTAGATCACATCTTTGGACACAATTGCAGCTTGAGCTGCAAGGACTGCATGAATGGAGGAAAGTGCCAGGAAGGAAAGAGTGAATGCTCCTGCCCAGCAGGTTGCCGTGTCATTCTTTGTAATGAAAGTAAGTGACACCCTGAGAATTGGGTAAGTGCTCCAAACTACTCCTTTACATATGTTCTCCCCAAAATGTTTTAATAAAGTAAGCAATTGATAAGTATGAGAAGACAATTTATTTGTTGGGCATAAATAATGCTTATGAAGTGCTTTAAGTTTTAAACTGAATATGTGATTTAAAAAGGAGATTTTATGTTCCCTAGGAAACTCAACATGCTGTCTCTTGTTTATCCATGGAATGTAAAAGTTAATAAAGGATCCTAATATTCTAGGCCTATAAAAATCCCTCCATTTAAATAAATCATTAGGCCCTGACAAGCTATTCCCAATGAAGAAAAAAGGAAAGGATTTGTGCTACAAAGTGCAATTTAAATGGACTTGCTTGACTGTTTGCTACTTGGTTTTGTGTACTTTTTTGTTCTTTTTCTTTTTAAAAACATGTAAACACAGCCAATGACACTGGTTTAATTTTTTTATTCAAGTCTCTCATGAGTAAGTTCAAAGATTTAAAAATGATACTGCCCAAAATTCCTTTCCTCTATATTTTAAATGAAGGTATGCTTTCAGGAGTTCAAACTTCCAAGTGATAAAATGTATTGACTATCTTTGTTTCTTCTTTCTCTTTTTAAATTCATTTTATGAGTTCTATTTATATAAGTGTTTTGTCTTAGTTTTTGTGATTGGCTTGGAAGATGATATGAACAGATTTTCTTTTGAACTCTCTACATATGGGAGGAACACAGCTGTTGTTACTCTTATATGATATAGATGCAAAACTTCAGTCATAACATAGTGAAATGGTTTAACCAAGATTACTAGTTAGGGTTTTGAGGATCTTCCTCATGCATCCCTCTGATCATGTTTCTCTGCTGCTGAAAAGCTTTGTGCCTTTCCCTTCACATAAAGTGTATACATCTTACCCAGTCACTAGTGGCCATCAGACTCTCATAAATCCTTTTGGCTTTTTGTCCTAGTCTTAACGCTTCACCTAACCTATTATTTCCCGCATACTAAACCACTCACTACTTAATGTGCTGCATTTTTCATCTTTGTGCCTTTTGCTAAACTGTCATCCTTGAAGGCCTATTTCTGCCTATTGCATGAAGCTTTATTTGATGGCCTCAGTCTAACACAGCTATTTATGTTTTTGGTGGATTAAAAAAAAATTCTCTCTCTCTACATTGGATTATTTTCTATCTTCTTTACTAGACTGAGAGCTTGCTGGCCAGGTCCTATTCATGCTTATTCATTGTGAATTTCTCCACACTGGAGGTATCCAGTGCATGAATGAACACATGAATAAAACTTGGTGTTGAAACTCCCAGCTATATTGACCTGCAACTTGGCACACTCAAATACATAAAATTGGGATCAAATAAATATTATTGCATGACCACTAGTAAGTCAATATTTACCTTATATTGTAAGTTTTATTGATAAATATGCATCTCCCAATACTTATCCCTAACATAGTAAAAAAACTAAAAAATCTATCTCAAACAAATAAGAATAAAATAAATAAAAATTTAAAAATAAAAAATAAAAATATAAAAAATATTTTACACACTAGTAAATTTAAAAACTAAAAAATAAAATAATGAAAAAATCTGTCTCTAACACGTAAGAATAAAATATCTCTGACATAAAATTAATACCAAAATATTGAAAATGAGCTTGCTGATAAAATAGAAATGAGATGGCATCTTCTTTGGCTTTAGAAAACCTTGGGGATCTCTCAAATATTTATATGTTGCAATAAAGGGGAGTCTACCCCTGAAAGCAGAACTTCTATCTTCTTTGTACTTTCTCTATATCCTTCTCTTATTTCTTTTACAACAATGAAAACAGAACAATCTATTTAGGAGAAACAAAAAACAATTGTTCATATTTTTTTAACAAAAAGAAGGAGTGGGAATATTTTCTTTAAAATCCCTATTGGCCAGGGGTGCTGGCTCATGCCTGTAATCTCAACACTCTGAGAGGCTGAGGCAGGAAGATCGCTTGAGGCCAGGAGTTTGAGACCAGCCTGGGCAACATAGCAAGTCCTAGTCTCTACAAAAATAATAATAATAAGAAGAAGAATAAGAATAAATCCCTTTAAACTACAATAAGCAGAGACCAGTTATTCATTGGCTATATTTTTAAGATTGCCAGCTTTTCAAATGCAGCAAAATAAATGAAAAAAGAACTTTCAACAGGGATCTAGAAGTCAGTTTTCCCGTTGAGTAGATCTTCTAGCCCAATACATTTATTAGTCTATAATGAAAATATCTACTTTGATTTCTTAGAGGTTTCTTCAAATAAATATATTGAAACAATTTTAAAATGACCACATATTATTTAATTTTAAAAGCACACTTTTAGAACCCCATTTCTTATGAAAGGTTTCATATCGAGATCATTTGTTATTGTGAGACTGTATCTGGTGGAAAGGAAAGATAGGAGTATTTTTCATATGTCAAATGAGTAGACTAAAACATGGGAGGAGAGATTTATGACTTTTTTTTTACATCATCCAGCTATGGTTTGGGACGTGTTTGTTTTACATTTTTCTTCCCCAGAATCTCTACACTGTTTGATCTAATGAAGTATTTGGCAAATCTATAGACTATATGATAATCACAGTTTACTTTGTGAGGGAGTGTCAAATTATAGTGTCGGTTTGTCTATATTGATGACTCGCCATAATCCAGACGCTGTGCAAGCCATTTAAACTTCCTTAGCTTCATTTTACAGGTTAAGTGTTTAAAAATTGCCCCTTCTGTAGTTGCTGTTAAAATGCAAACATTAACAAAATGTAAATTAATAATATAGGCCACAACAAATGCTTGTTGCCAGTCTCTCATTTTTTGTTTATCCTTTCCTTTTTTCCCTTTCATAGTAACCTATGGCTTGAAAGCAAAGAAAAGGGTGAATAAGAAGCCAAGTTCCATATTAGCATCTGGAATGGGAGCAGGGGATGAATGGAGCAGATTTTATAAATGTAATTTTATAACATTTAGCCTATTATGATAAAATGTCAATTACAGTTATTACTGAAATTATCTCAACAGCTACATTTGCTTACATTACAATATAAAGTCACCGACATTTTTCCCAATTTATTGTTTTATAGAGCACTAAACACAAAAATACCAACAACCTAATGAAAACTGTTGTTTGCCTGACTTTGTCTTATCTTTGGCAATGCAAACTACCTTGGGACCCCCATGAGAACCTTAGCTGCATTCATTCCTGGTTAAAAATACATGACATTTTAAAAGCATTTTTCCCTCAGTTTTCAAAATAGAAGATGCAGTTTGTTTCTCGTTAGGGTTGGAATTGTACAGCAAAGTTGTCTGGGTAGCTTTTAAAGTGTGAGGGTTAGAGTTTAAGAAATGAGATAAATTTTGCATTTGAAACTTGTTAGCAATTTCTTCAGTCATCATTATTTTAACTAGCTGTATCAGTAATCCCCTCGGGAGTGATTATGCTATACAAACTAGGAACATGCCAGAAAATTTTCCTGGGTCTGTAAGCCACTGAGTTTTTAATTACTTGGTATCTATCCTGATAGAAAGAGAAGCTATTTTTTCCCTCCATTTGTATCAGAACACGTATGTTCCATTGCTTGTTCATCTTCTCTAGTTTCTTCATAGCTTATTCCCCAGAGACCAGTGAGAAAGAATGTGGCAGCATCGGTAATTGTCAGAATGGAGGCATCTGTGATCTTCTGACTGGGCACTGCCAGAGCCCCCCAGGGGTTCATGGGAAAACTTGTGAAGATAGAAGGAATGTCTGGTGCCAGTCAGTTAAGTTCTTGGGGTTTCTAATGAGAAGTAAACTAAGTGAAAGTTGCATGTGTATTTTTCAAAATGGCCTTTTTCTGAAGAAGTAAAAGACTGTGAAAGCTGTGTCTGTATATATAAAAGAGTACAATTGTTTTGACTGATGACATGTGTAACAACGAAATAAGTGATATTTAAATCTCCAACTGTGATCTAAGCAGGACGAATCCTCTTACAGAGAAAGCCTTTTTCTTCTACTGAGCAAAAAGTTACAATTATGTATATAGGTTTAGATGTAGGAGCTTAGGAGAAGTTATTTTCTCTGCATAACAAAATGAAGAACAATAGAGCTCCTTGGGGAAACCAGGGAGGAAGACAGATGAAAATTAGAGAAGAAAAGGGAAGGAGGTAGAGAGAAAAAGAAAAAAAGAGATGATGGATAAAAATCTCACAAAATACCAATGAGTACTGTGCATAGATTTTGTGTGTGTGTGTGTGTGGAAACCAGTGAAGAGGCCACAATTCCTACATGGGTTAATAAAGCACAAAAAAAAGAACCTGCTTGCACATGCACAAAAGCTGAAGGCAGAGAGTCAGTGAGGATGTAAGTCTCTAGGGATGGCCAGAAATCATGAGGAGTTTATTAGCTTCTCACAGTTGATAGAATTGGGGAGCTGGAAATGAAGTTTACTTCACTTTCTGAGATGCAGTAAGGTCCCTGCTGGCATTTCAGTTACTTATCTTTGTGAGCAATGTTCATTTATTTATTTAAAAACTACATTAAATGGTTGCAAGGAATGGCACCAGACATTATGATATGATAACAAAAAAGAAATAAAAGCTATTATGATGCTTCCATGTGGAACTTGCGATTTTGTTCAAGGCAACCATAAATTACAAATACTGGTAGGGATTACCTACCAGTACTAATATGTGGTTGGAAGTGAGACCATGAGGACAATGCAGACTGTATGAGCCTGAGAGAGAGACTTATGGAGAAGTCACATTTAAGCAAAAGCCTGCAAAATGTGGAGAGATAAAACAGGAGAAGAGTGAGGAAAGAGCTTTCCTGATTAAGAGGCAGTAGGAAGGCATGGGATGCTCTATGAAACCTGCAGAGGCCAGCGGAGCGGAGCACAGGCAGACAGGGAGACGGTAGTGCAACATGAGGTCAGCAAGCTCAGGGGCCCCAGTCTTATTAAGTTTGGTGTTTTTGACCAGACAGCAATGACGAGTCATTGTAGGATTTTTAAGCAGAGGATACAGAATCATCTTGGTGGTTTTAAAAAGATCTCTCTAGCCTCAGTTCAACCAGATTGGAAACATTTCACCTTTCTCAGTCTCCTGACTTCCTATAACAATAACTCTAGCAAGTTTTACATGTGGTTTAATATTTTCTTCATTTGTCCTCTCACCTTCCAGGATGCCCAAAAGGGTTCTTTGGGAAGAACTGCAAAAGGAAATGTAACTGTGCCAACAATGGCCATTGCCACAGGATGTATGGCGCCCATATGTGTGAGCCAGGGCGCCATGGGAGGTTTTGTCATCTGAGTAACTTGCAGGCACTTAATTTGCTCTGTGTGTAAAGCGTGAAGACACAGAAAAGTGCAGAGACTACTGTCAGACAAAGGAAGAGAGTAAAAAATGTTTTCTATAGTTTTATATATATGACAAATATGTTATAGCCTTTAGCCTCTTTATAGAATCTAGATTTTAATGAATGAAAGAAAAATGTTTCTAATTTTGTTTTACATCTGATTAATGTTTACCTTAATTAATGGGAGTGGATTGTTAATAGTCTCTTTAAGTAGATGTTTGATACTTTACCAAAGTTGAATACCTCGGGCCAGAACAAGTTTCTTTTATTTCTCTGTTCCAGAATGAAGCAGTCTCATTCTCTAAGATTTCTAATATTGCATTTTGACTATTAATCACATTTTTCAAAGGATGCAAGAAAACATGATCACTAACAAATACTTCAACCCAGCAGTAACTTTTAGAATTTCTCCCAGTGGGATAACTCTGAATGTTCTCCATCCCACCTTGATGCTATGTGCAAGTATCTATGAGCCTGCAAAAATCTTCACCCTGCTCCTCTACCTATTTCACATCCTCTTCTCTTTTTGTTAACAGACTAATGCCTCTGAAAATCTTTCCTGATTGAACTTCAGTGTTTTAGTCCATCTGGGCTGCTACAACAGAATACCATAAGCCAGGTTGTACATAATCAACAAATACTTGTTTCTCACAGTACTGGAGACTGGGAAGACTGAGATCAAGACACCAGATTTGGTATCTGGGGAGGGCTTACTTGTTGGTTCTTAGATGGCATCTTTTCACTGTGTTCTCATGCATGGTGGAAGGGACAAGGCAGTTCTCTGGGGTCTCTTTTAAGATCACTAATTTTATTCATGAAAGCTCCATCCTCACAACATAATCACTTAATCACTGCTAATACCATAGCCCTGGGAGTCAGGATTTCAACATATGAATTTTGGGAGGACAAAAACATTCTAACCATAGAACCACTTAATACCATAACCATCTCTTGATAACAGACACCTTTTAGAGTCTTATGTTTTATTTTAATGAATATCCATGATTCTCGTCTATTTTATAAAAGCCATGTCCATAGGAAAGATAAATTATAAATATACCAATAAGAGATCCAGTGAAGTCATCATAGAACACTAAACCTGGAGCATGAGGAAACATTAGGCCTAGACAAGCAACATAGAAGAGAAGGGGAAAGGTGTGGGAAACTATGAGCAATAGAGGTGCAGATGGTATGTTCCAGAATGTTATATACCTCCTAGGATATGCCAAGAGAAGAAGATTGACCTAGAAACAAGGATAATATTTGTATTATTGTTCCTGTAGTGTAACAAGACACATCCCACTTTTAGTATTAACTTTAGAATATCTAAAAAGGTTACATCAGATGTTATGGCAAAAAAAAATTGAATCATTATTGATCTGGTCAAAAATGTAAAGGGATAACTTTTCAGAAACATCAAGTTGAAGTTTTTAGGGTTTAATGATATTGGCATAGCACATATTTATTCATTTGCATGCTGCGAGGAGTTGAGGCACAGGAAAAAAATCAGCAAACATGTTTGTTGTGTTGGTGGTGGTGGTGGTGGTTAGCATTTTGAATATGACTATCTTTAGGGAAAAATGATACATTCTAGTTCTTTGCAACTCCCTTATTGCTTGGACTTGAAGATTTATTTATTAATGTCACTTTCCTGGTCTTCAGGAACTTGAGTTTGCAACTCTATATATTCGTTTTTTAGTCCCACCATAACAAAGTACCACAAACTGAATGGCTTAAACAACAGAAATGCATTGCCTTGTAGTTCTGTAAGCTAGACGTCCAAGATCAAGGTGTCCCCAACCCCCTGAAGGTGCTAGGGACAGATCTGTTCCAGGCCTCTCTCCTAGTTTCTGGTAGTTCCTTGGCTTGTGGCAACTTAACTTCAATCTTCGTATGGTACATGTCTCTGCATACAAATACTGCTTATTTATAAGGACAGCAGTCATATTGAATTAGAGGCCATCCTATTCCAGTATGACCTCATCTTAACTACTTATGTCTGCAATGATTCAGGTTCAAATAAATTTACATTCTGAAGTACTGAAGGATTAGAACTTCAACATATGAATTTTTGGTGGACACATTTCAATGCATTACAAACCCCACTTTTCCGTATTTCCAAATATATTCCAGTACTGATATGTTCTTAATATACAAATGGTCACATTTAAGCATTCCTCTGTGTCTGTGTTGTCTTCTGAACCATAATTCTATGTGCTGAACCAGAAAGAATAGGGCATGAAGGACAATTTTGAGTGAGGATTTAGGAATGAGCAAGAAGAGGCCTACATTAAGGCAGGCAACAGCCTGAGAGACCCTGGGACCTGGTGGGTGTACGAAAGGATCCAAAACTTGGAAGCCATAGAAAAGGAGATAGAGGATCATATAAGTTATTATCTACATTGGGAAACCTGAAAAGGACTCTGTTAACTTTAGAGGTAGCTCTGTACTATCCCTGGCAATTGGGACTAGGATGGCCCTACATGGTGGCATCATAACCATCACTTTGAATGATCTCTACTAATGTCTCTTTCCATCCACTGGAAAGTCAAGTGTTCTCTCTAAGCAGCTTTCTACAGCAAAGCGTATGTGGGCACACAATGCAATTACCTTGAGCCTGGAGGCCACTTGAAGGATTTTTTACTTGGTATGTCACTTGGACATCTGTAATAGGGGAGAAAATAATGTCAGAGGGATATTTCAGAAAAGGAATTGAATTACTGTAACACTCCTCAAAGAGAAAACTATGGGTATGTTTTCCTGAATGCAAAGGTGTGACTTTTTCATATTAGAATTCCTGTGCTGCCTTCCATCCCTAACACTCAATGGCAAAGAGAAAATAATGAAAGGAAGGCAAGTACCATTTGCCAAAGATGTGGCCAAGATAACGCTGTTGTCACCATGAAACCTTTATGTTATCCTACATGATGTAAAATTATTTCTGATTACCATAGAATGGAAGGGAATGAAAACAACGGCCAGCCTTCTCATAAGTGCTTGTCCGTCATCTCCATGCTGCAGCAGGATGAATATGGGGCCTGGCAGGCCTTAGCATTCTTTGGAGAATATTAACTATAGGCACCAATGGAGCACATTGAGAAGCAATTTCTCTCCCGGAAGCACCAAAGCCTTTTAAGTAGTTCAGGCTTCACTGTTCACGTCCAGTTGCCAAAAAGCAAATGAATTGCCTGATTTAAAAGACATTTGTTTCCTCATTTTTTTGGCAGTCAGGATGATCCTCTTGTTTTCCCCATAATCAGGCTCCACAGAACTACATGCCTGTGCACTAACAATTTAAAATAAACAAAGCGTGGTTTTCAGGTGACCGCTTTGCCTCTATTTGCTTATAGACTGTCTCGAGGATGCCTACGGAGCTGGCTGCACTTCAGAATGTCAGTGTGTGGAGGAGAATACCCTGGAATGCAGTGCCAAAAATGGTAGTTGCACCTGCAAATCTGGTTACCAAGGCAACAGATGCCAGAAAGGTATGCTCTGATGATAGATTTTCTTTCTTCTTTAATAATAATCCTCAGCCTTTGTTCAGCATCATATGATTATTAATTAGTTAATCCACCAGTGCCCTCAGAAGATGGGTAAGCTCTATTAATCCCCTATATGCAGGTGAGGAAACTGAGACATAGGGCAATAGAGTTATTTAATGCAGTCTTCTTAGCCTCTGCTGCTTCCTGTCCCCTTGTTAGCTTGAGCAAGAGAAGAAAGATCACACTGCAGATAATTATATTCAGAAAGACTAAAGCTAGACAACTGCTTCTTTAAACTGAACTAATCAACCCAAGGCACTACTAACTTCCAGAATTAGAATTGTTTTCTTTATATCTAAGGATTGATCATTCAAACAAATGTAATTCAAAGATGCTAATGCTTAACCATAGAAAAACTTTGAAAAGTTTTAATATGGTTATTGGTGTTTTGGTTTTTCAAATTTGTATGTATTACATTTTTTATAAATATAAAAGTTATTGTATAGTATGATTACAATTACAAGTAACATATATAGGTATATATGTGTGTGTGTGTAGATGCATATACCATTTGGAAAAAGGTATTCCAAGATGCCAGTATTGACTATCTCTGGCTTGTGCATTCATGGGATGCTCTTTCCTAGGTACCTACATAACTCTTTCACATTTCAAAAAGTCTCATGTTCCTTTTTTACTGAATCTTGTCAGTACTACCCTACTTAAAACTGTAACTTGTAAGTTTCCAAACTTTTTTCTTTTTTTATACTGCTGATCATTTTCTAATACAGCACATACTCTAATTATGATGTCAAATATTTATTGCCTGTCTTTTCCTGCTATAAGCAGAACCCCATGAGTGAAGGGTATCTAAAAATTTTGTTCAGCCAAGTATCCCCAAACTTCTGAAACAGTCCTGATATACAGATATTGCTCAATAAATATTTTCTTAAATCAATACATAAATTTGCATTTTTATTCTTTATACATTTTTCTTGTATTATCATGTATTTTGCATTAAGCACTTATTATTATATTTCAGAGGAAAATATCACAGCATTTTTTTCTCTTTAGTACAACCTTGTGTAAAATCAGAAGGAGATAATAGGTTCGAAAGGAAACCATCATGTCTTTGGGGCCACTTACAGAGGCAGGCACTAGGATTGAAAATGGTCTTTGACACTCACGTATCCTCACTTTCTCCTTGCAATGCCATCTTCAGAGGATCTGCAGGGCTTTTCTGGAGCTGGATGGACAGGGGAGTTTCTCTGTTCCAGGTTGTCTAGTGGTTATAGAACTGGAGAGGGTGAACAGTGATGTCCATCTAGATTTCATGGACAGAGTTTACTTAGGTAGCTGGATTGTGACTTTCTAGACATTAGGGAAAGGAAGTTGGGGAAATAGAATCCTAACATGACACTAACGGGTTTAATGTGGTATGAGAGTAGGTCCCATGCCAATTTCTAAACATCTTCCTGCTTCAAATGATTTTTAAGCCCAGAGTCAACCCCTTATTCATTTTCCTCCTGGAGAAGTCATGCCCTGGAAGTCAATGTATGAGGAGACAATGCCATATAACAAACCTGGGTAAACTTAATTTATTCTGATAACATTTTCTTAAAGCAGCTGCTGAATATACTTTATTGGAAAATGCTTCTGAGATTCCCACTGTGAAGGAAAATGAGTTGAAAGTATATGTAAATCAGCAAAATAGAGAGGTCACCATAATCTCTGGAAAACATATTATTTTTCAATCAGATAACTTTGTCCAATTCTGATATTTTTGTCTAACCACAAAATGAAATTATGAATCAGACTGCAGCAGGTGAATGGGGTTGCTATGATTGGCAGTTGAAATCAAGGCAAAAAGAGCTCTCCAAGAGTTGTGCATGATGAAAATCAGGCCTGTTGTTTTTCTTTCTCTTTTTTAAAAGAGTGAAGTAGCCCAAGTGCTCCTAGAGACAGACATATCTTTAAAAATCTTAACTCCAGACCTGTGTCTAGATTGCAGATGAATAGTTAATTAAAGACTGGAAATTGTTTCAATGGCACTAATGAACAGTATTTTCCGCAATCAGCACCAGGCCTTATTTAGCTTATCAGCAATGACTTCTAAGAACAGAAGAGCTGGTTTCTACAACTAACCTGTGAAATAGCAAAAAAAAAAAAAAAAAAAAAAAAAAAAAAAAGAAAGAAAAAGTAAAGCAGCCGGTGTCTTTGCCTTGTTTAGATTAGTTTGTAGCCTAGAGTATTTTGCACACTCACTGCAGGCAGACCTCAGAATGTAGAGGACTCTGGCCCAGCTGGCCCCTTGACACTATACAACCCCTGGATCATGATAAGAAAGAAAGATTTTTTTTAGAAGAGTTCCACATCAGATGAACTTCGAATTTTGAACCCGGTGAATCTTTAAGAGCAGATTAATTGGCCTGAAAGATGCTGAGTACCTAGTATTGTAGAGTAAATTCGGGTGTAGTGGCTGAGCGCACCAGTTTCAGAGGCCAGGAGATCTGGGTTCAAGCTTTGTGATATAGAGTAAGTCACTTAACTTGTGGGAGCCTCTGTTTCTCATATAAAATGGAAATAAATTTGCTTATGCCATAGGGTTCTCTTTTGGAAGTATGAGCTAATTTACATAAAGTGCTTAACAGAGTTAGTAATCAACAGATCGGGTATGAATATCCCAGAAAATATTATAATTCTGTAGGACAAGAAGATACTTCACAGCCCAACTTGATTTGATGTAACTTTTCATAAGTGTTATATTTTTAAGAAAGTTCCACCTTTTTCCTTGGGTTAAAAAAAAATGCTTTCCACCGGGTTTCTAATTCCAGTGGTTTATATGGAAGAACACACACTGAAACCTCTCACTGAGCCCTCAGTGGTCCCTGCAGCATCAACTGTCCTTTGCTAGTTCAAAGAACAGTCAACAAAGCAGATCACTCTTTCTCTTCTCCCACCTTATGCACTGTACACTCTCATAAAGTACACAGTTCATAAACCTCTGGTGTGATTATTTTAGCTCACAAAAGAAGCAGTCTTAGAGAACAGGATTTAGGCAACAATTTGAGGGCAACTTCCTGAGTGCCACGCCTCCTGAGCTTCCTTTACAAATTACATCTCATTTTCAGGTTTTGTTCTGTGCAACTGCTGCTAAAGATATATATCAAAATTGCTTCCATTGTTACTGTCTGAAAAACCACATTTTCAGCAAAAAGCCAACCTCTGTATCTGTGTTTTCAAAGTGACAAGATATAGTATCATGTTGATTTCTTCAGGGAATACTTTTGGAAGTGTTATAAATCCTTGGAGGCTACTAGGATATTTCTTTCTTTGCAGCTCTGTCACACACACACACACACACACACACACACACTTTTCCAACTTGGTTAGGCAACAGTAGAAATCTTGGACCATTTTGAGACTTCTTACAAGTCTACGTTTCTTTCTCTCTCTCTCTTTTTATTTTATGTCTGCCCAGATGGCCTCTGGGGACCAGAGGGCTGGTTCTCCTCTGCACCCTGTGAAAATGGAGGTCAGTGCAACAAAAAAACTGGAAATTGTGACTGCACTCCTGATTACACAAGAAAATCCTGTACCATATGTAAGTCATAAACCTAGACGAAATAACCAACAAAGTTAATAAAACTGTTAACTTTAAAAATGCTTTTTTTTCCTGCTATACAAGATATTGCTATGTTAGGATGCATGTTCCCACCATTTATTGTTGTGTAACAAACTACCCCAATACTTTGTGGCTTAAAACAATGATTTAATATTTCCCTTAATTCTATGGTTTGATGAGGCGATTATACTGCTGGTGTCCCCTGGGGTCACTCATGTGACTGCTTGGGCTGGTAGATATTTGAGAACAGACTGGGCATGGCTGGGCTGCTCAACCAGGGAACTTGCCCTTTCCTTTACAAAACATTTCCACAAGGTTAACTTGGACTTTCCTATAGCGTGACAGTTTTAAGACAATAAAGAAGGAGCATTCCAAAAGTGTGCAAGCAAAAGCTATGTGAGGTGGAAAAGCCTTGCCTCAGAAGCCACACATTGTCACTTTCACCACATTCTATTGGTTAAAGCAAGTCATGGGCAAGCCAAGTTCAGGGGAAGGAGAAAGAGATTCTACCTTCTGAAGAGAAGAGTAGCAGAAGCTTATTGCAAAAGACCTTCAAGTTGAGAGATATGGTTGCAGCCATTTTTGGAAGCAATCTACCATAGTATGCTATTCAAATTTATACTGAAAGGCACTTTAAGAACCTATTAGACTAGAATTATCATTCTTGTCAGATGGGAGCAGATTAGAGAGTGATAGAAAGTGATTAGCTACATCGAACTAGTTTCAAGGAGCCAGTAGAACTACTATCCCGCTGTACCCTTTTCTGGTTGTGATTATTTGTAAGTTGTGCTAACCCTGCCTGTATCACCTTCTCTACTCCATTGACAATGAAACACAGTGACTTGAGAATGTGAGGAAAACTATGGGCTGGATAGTAATTATACTTTTTTTTTTACATTACTATTTATTTGTCTAATAAAGATTAGCAAACATTTGTGATTATCATTTTATGAAGTGTGAACAGTGATTTGAATTAGCTTTCAGTGCTTAGGCCTTTCCATTAACCAACAAATATATAAAATCAGAAACACCATATATAAAATGTAAGCAGATAGTATTTAGCACTGAGCTAATCATATGATCACTTTGGGAAATATTGCTGCCCCTAGGGAGAACCCTCAGGCAAAAGTTACAGGACTAGATCTTTGATGACTTTCTGTATATAGCAAGATACTTTATTTTAGAACCATTATTCTGGCACTTTTGACAAGCATTTCAAACAGTAGAATAGTTTACTGGAGAAGCAGTTGGCTATCCCTAACCTACTTGTTTGCTTCAAAAAAAAAAAAATACCTCTTAAAGGTAAGAATTTACATATTCAAAAGGTAGTTACTTGCTATTTCCACAGTGAAGTGACATTTTCTCTTGTCTAACTCAACTTTAATGGAATAATTATTAAGCAGATAGTGATAAAGTTTACACTGTTCCAGTTGTCAAGTGATATAAATAGACCATTTAAGAACAAGTGAAGAAAAAGATAAACTCCTCATTCTTTAAGATATTAATTTTCATAGTTATGTTACAGTTCTTTCCTTTTATGACTTCAAATCCCAGAAAAACATTTCATGATAGTCCTGAGAGATTTGTTAGTGATAAGTAATACTATTTACATTTTATTGGCAACTTGATAATGATACATGTATTGAATTCAATATGCAAAAATATTCCCTGACTCCTAGTCCAGTCCAATTTTAGTATTACATGCTATTATCTGATTTTACACACACAGACACAAACACAAATTATATAATCACCATAATAAGATATTTAGGAAAATGAATGGAGCCAAATGATAGAATTCATTAAAAATGCTTCACGCGTACCTCACAAAAAATGTGTGTGGCATTTTAAAAGTGGCATGTATTTGAAGAAAAGCATACAACATTTCTCTAAATATCCCGTTATGGTGCTCACAGAATTTTAAAACCTAGTTACTCTGCATAATGAACTGTAAAAATACTCATAGGCTATATAAGTAATATATTTTAGAGGCAGGAAAGACCAAAAAGCTACGTTTAAATATATTGGCTTTTTAATAAATCCTGTTGTTTGGAAGTTATAAATACAAATACTTGGGGAAAATCTTTTTAAATCTTTTATTTCACTGTATTTAAAAAATCCTCTGGATTATGGTAGATTGGACTTTGTTGCTGTTTTTTGTTTTTGCTTCCTAAACAGTATGTGTATGGTGTGGCATGGCCATGGGGGTGGAATCACAGGCACTCTCACACCCTTGATAAGAATGCATCATCTATGTGAAGGGCAGTTAAATCTTACATGTCAGGCCTTTTAGCAAATAATCAGAGAAGGGCTCCCAGCCTTTTCTTTATCCCAGCATTATTTATAACAACAAAAAAAGCTTAAAGTAGAAACAACCTAAATACCCACTAGAAGGAGAATGATTGAGCAAATTATACAGCATATCACTGGACTCTTCTGAGGCCATTAAGTTTCATGTTTTAGAAGAATATGTCATGTCAGAAAAATTGACATTGAGTTGATGTTAAAAGCTATATGTACAGAATGATTCAAATTTGTAAGAACATGTAGCTATGTATGTATATGGGAAATTGTAGAAGAAAGGACAGCAGTTTTTAAACAGTGTCCATCTCTAGATGGTGGGACTATGGGTGAATATTTTTCTCCTTTATACATTTCTGTCTTTTTCATATTTACTAGTTTACTACTTTTTCCTTAGGAATCAGAGAAAAAAATGGCATCATCTTTAGACCAATTGGTGACTAAATATCCAAGAAAAATAGTTATCTATTCTTAAAGTATTCTCTGTTGGCCTAAACTGTTCCCATAATAGTGAAGATATTTTTTTCCTTCAGTCATATTTAACTTATTGCTATTTTAATTTTAGACCATTTTCTCCTTTTTCTCCTATTGTGAATATTAACCATAGCTCATCAGCACTACCAAAACTCTTGAAAAATAAACACCTAAAAGAACATAGTAACGTTTCCTCCTAATATTTTATTTCCCTTTCGTCAGAAACCTCATTTTCTATTCCTTAGTCATTTAGTGATTACTTTTATTTTTCAGGAGCACTTACAAAACAGGCCCCTTCACTATTAAAGGAGAGAAAATCAGAAAGGAGAAAAGACATGGGAAGGGAGATACTAATTCCAAATACATCCATGCTTCAAATATTATTTGATCAAACTTCATAAAAACCATAATGAACACAGGTGTAAGCCTTCCTCAGTGCTAAGCTGGCAAATGTTTAACAGGCTCTGTGAAAGATAAAAGCACTGAGTTTTAGTGTTTGCCGATTTCCAAGGTATAATACTCCTACCGTGGTGATTTCAAGCAATCAATGTGATTTCAAATGGCTTGCAAAATTCCTGAAAATGTAGCAGTTGGCTTTCCCGAGCCGGTAGTTATGGCTCCAGCATACCATTGGCTGGCAAATATTTGTATTCTGAACACACCAAACAATTTCTTAACTTTTACTTTCTCTATTGATATGAAGAAATTATTACTTTTCAGGTATCAGTTTTATTTTACTGTTTCTAAACAGATAACCCGATTGACCTTTTTGGTTGAATTAACCAATAAATAGTTCCAACCAACAAAAATTTGCTATTTAGATAGGCTATTTTATTTTCAAGACAAAAATCAATTGTTTGGCTAAATGGATTCAAGATTCAAAAAACAGACAAAAGAAGGTATTGAGTTGCTTTATGTGTAAACACAGTCTCCTCAGTCTTTTACTCTAGAATTCATATAGCTGGGGTTTTGACTCAATCTAGAGAATCCTTTAACAACCTCTAAGCTGTTTTCCAACTTCCTCTACCACACCCAGCACGAATGAGGGCTGGTATTTCCTTAGTGACACACTTTTGTTAAAAAAAAAAAAAAAAAAAGAAGAAGAAGAAGAAGAAAAAGAAAAGACAGTTACCAGTTATCCAAGGTAGAAGTAAAAGAGTATGTGTAAAGCAAGGCAAAACAGCAAACAAGTTTTAAAAATTAGAAAAACAATTAAAATCTGAAATATTACCAAACATAAAGAGCTAAGGTACAACAAGATACTTCCTCCTCTCTGAAACAATTGTAAATCAGATTTTTAAAGTTGCTGTAAAATAAATTGTATTTAAATAATACATCTCCTATCCTTTCCCACAGTGAGATGCATTTCCCTTACCAATCTGGCTCTCAGCAGGCGGTCCAGCCCGATGAAGTATCAGCAAAATGTCAGCTCCCACAGAGAAGTGCGACAGAGGCAACAGTGCAGCAGTGACAGGCCTTTCAAAAAGCTATTGTGCAAATTCAGTTTTAAAATAGGGATGTAGTTGAGGACTGATGGGTATTTCATTACCAATGCGTTCATCTCCCCCATCGTCCAAGAGAATGAGAGGGGGTCATGGTGCAGCTGATATAAAGCCATTAAGTTGAGTAGCGGTTGATTTGGTCTGTAGAAGATTTGTCTTCCTATCTGTATTTTTGAAAAGTTAATATTCAAATTAGCTGTCATTTTTAGTACATACCTGCTAAAGGGGGGCCAAGAATTGTTCTGTTTTCTACTTGATCACCTTCCAGTGTCTCAATTAGATCATTAAAAACAAAGTTAATCATGTCATTACTTTATAAACCTCATTGAGCTACTGATACTGTTCATAATGAAGTTCGTAGCACTAAAGACCCATCATCAACCTGTCTCTAGCCAGCTTTTGACCATGCTTACGTATACCCTACATATTTTAGTCATTCCCCCAACATCATGTACATTTAAAACATGGTGCCATTGTTCATTGCTCTTTCCTGTAATACATGTTTTCTTCTTCCATTTTTATTCCCTCAAGCATTTATTCCTCAAGCATTTTTATTTTCCAGTATATGTAAACAAAATACTAGAGCCCTTCTTTCCATAGCAGCACCAATCATATTGTATTATAATTAGTTGCCTGCTATTAAGACTGCTTATCATTAATTTTTGTACACCCCACTTTTCAATATACAAGGGGTACTCAATAAAGATTTGCTAGATTCAATTAAAGAACATTTTTGACAACTTAAAATTCCATCGAAATAATTTACTGAGTAAAAAAAAAAAAAACTTGCAAAACACAGCGTTTATGATACTGAAAAATACCCAGTAACCAATACTCGTTAAACTGGATTGAATTACTCAGCCTTTTAATATAGCAAGAGGAAATCAAGAAAGCTGTAGCACCACAGCTTTATTGGTCTGTACTCCATTTCTGAAAACACTTTTCATGAGAAGATTTTTCAATGGATTAGAAGACTAACATCAGACAATGATGATTCCTTAGCTTCATCTCAAGAGTCCAGATTATTTCCTTCTATACTCACTTTCAATGTATGCAATCATTCCTTTTAAATACAACAGAGTTACCTTAGAAAAGTAAACAAATGTAGGCTGGACGCCGTGGCTCACACCTGTAATCCCAGCACTTTGGGAAGCCGAGGCGGGAGGATCACTTGAGGTCGGGAGTTCAAGACCAGCCTGGCCAACCCCATCTCTACTGAAAATACAAAAATTAGCCTGGAGTGGTGGCACACGCCTGTAATCCCAGCTACTCAGGAGGCTGAGGCAGGAGAATCACTTGAACCCGGGAGGCAGAGGTTGCAGTGAGCTGAGATTGCGCCATTGCACTCCAGCCTGGGCGACAAAAAAAAAAAAAAAGAAAAAGAAAAGTGAACAAATATCTCTGGCTTTTAGTGTCTGTATATAAAAGGAAAGAGTTCGACTATATAATTATATAATATATAATTCAATGTATAGAGAATAACATTATGTAGTAAATATAGACATGCTGTATAGTGATGTATTACTCAAAGCTCATGTTGAGTATCTACTCTGTATTACACACTGTGTTTTGTGTTTTCCATCAGTATGCTCACTTAAACCTTAGAACAACTATCTGAATTTGGTACTATTATCATCCCCATTTCATGAACGAGGAGGCTGTATATAGGAAGAATTAAGTAATTTGTCTGAAGTAATTAATAATTGAGGACTAGATAATCAGTAAAGTACATACCAATATTATATATCTATCAAATGAGACAGTGCTTTCTAATATTAATTTTGTAGCTGCCTGCTTATAAAATTGAGAGAAAATAAAGGAATTTAAGATTCCATAGAAAAAAACCTAAGCAGTCAAGAAATTTCCTTAAGGTTGTTTTATTTTTGGCCCCACCTTTGCAGATTGCAAAAATCGTTGCTAACATAGCCGAAAACATTGTTGAAATGTCAAATGCTATTAATAGCCCATACTCAATTTAATGGTGGAGGGATGTTGTTTTTGTTTTGTTTGGTTTGTTTGTTTGTTTGGTCCTTATATAGCACATCCAACCTATTTCTACAGCCTAAGTTGCCTGGTACACCGCGTTTCCTGGTGGGACCTTGATATCAGCCAATGTCCCTACCTGTTCAACTGGACCAAGCCTGATGACAGATGCTGTATATCAGAAGTTAATTATAGGGCCAGGTGCGGTGGCTCACGCCTGTAATCTCAGCACTTTGGGAGGCCGAGGTGGGTGAATTACCTGAGGTCAGGAGTTTGAGACCACCCTGGCCAACATGGTGAAACCCTGTCTCTGCTGAAAATATCAAAAATTAGGCAGGTGTTGTGGCAGGCGCCTGTAATCCCAGATACTCCAGAGGCTGAGGCACAAGAATTGCTTGAACCCAGGAGGCAGAGGTTGCAGTGAGCCGAGATCATGCCACTGCACTCCAGCCTGGACAACAGAGCGAGACTCCATCTCAAAAAACAAAAACAAAAACAGAAGTTGATTATATATCCAGTTCTTCACCTAACCTAATGACCTAACAAATTTTCTCTACCTTCTGCAGATGCTGAGTTGTCTCAGTCTTTTTTCGTTTTTAGAGGGCTACCCAATCTTGACTGTGTTTAAAAGCCTCTTTGTGTGTTGGGGTAAATATAGCTGGCTAGCTGCCTACAGTAATCTGTGATTACTCTTCCTGCTTGCTTCCAGAGTCCTGAATTGAATATCTGGCAAAGCGCAAAATAAATTCTTATTTCTACAAGGCAAGTCATCCAGAAGTTGCCCTCCAATACACATACCTTTCATATAGACATAGACACAGACCCTTTGTTTGTGAGTTGGACTCACAGTCCACTGTGTTCTGCAATTTTTTATCTACTTATGATTCAATTGTATCTACTTATGATTTATATTTACTTGTTTGGCATCTATTCATTCTAGTACCATAATTTCTTAATATTCAAATATAAGGACCAGTCTGACATATAGAACTCTTTTCTCTCTAAGTGTTTCTTTTTTTAATGCCACTGTGTATAAATATCATTGTGTCTTTCGCAAGCAAACACCCTAAAAATGTCCATATGGTGTCAATATTCCTGAGAAGTTTTCAGAGTACATTGAAGGCGAGAAAGGTCTCAGGTCATAATAACCATTAAGTTTTAATTTTGTTACTATCTCTTGAGTCTTTTATGTACCTATTATTTGTTAAGTATATATGGGGGAGGGGTCCTCAACCCCTGGGCCACAGATTGGTACTTGTCTGTGGCCTGTTAGAAACAGGCCTACACAGCAGGAGGTGAATGTTGGGCAAGTGAGTGGAGCTTCGTCTGTATTTACAGCTACTCCCCATTGCTTACATTGCTGCCTGAGTGCCACCTCCTGTCAGATCAATAGTGGCATTAGATCCTCAAAGGAGCATGAATCCTATTGCAGAACTGCGCATGTGAGGGATCTAGGTTACATGCTCCTTATGAGAATCTAATGCCCAATGATCTATCACTGTCTCCCATCACTCCCAGATGGGACCATCTAGTTGCAGGAAACAAGCTCAGGGCTCCCACTAATTCTACATTATGGTGAGTTGCATAATTATTTCATTATATATTACAATGTAATAATAATAGAAATAAAGTGCACAATAAATGTAATGTACTTATATCTTCCCAAAACCATCCACCCCACCCTGGCCCAGACCATGGAAAAATTATCTTCCATAAAACTGGTCCCTGGTACCAAAAAGGTTGGGGACCACCACTATATGAAATACTAAAAAAGTTAAGACAACATCTTGCCCTCAAGGAATTCGTGCACAATTTAATGAAAGAAGTTGTGTAAATCACTTATTTTAATTATATTTTAAAAGATATTGAAATAATAGATGTTTGATAGCAGACTGTTATTAATCCTACCAGAGGGAACACCTAAGGGCTTTCTGTCACACGCGTCCATGTGAAGAGACCACCAACAGGCTTTGTGTGAGCAATAAAGCTTTATTTTATTTTATTATTTATTTATTTATTTATTTTGAGATGGAGTCTCACTCTTTCGCCCAAGCTGGAGTGCAGTGGTGTGATCTCGGCTTGCTGCAAGCTCCACCTCCCGGGTTCACACCACTCTCCTGCCTCAGTCTCCCGAGTACCTGGGACTACAGGGACCATGCCTGGCTAATTTTTTATATTTTTATTAGAGACAGGTTTTCATAGTGTTAGACAGGATGGTGTCGGTCTCCTGACCTTGTGATCCACCTGCCTCGGCCTCCCACAGTGCTAGGATTACAGGCGTGAGCCACCGCACCTGGCCGCAATAAAGCTTTTTAATCACCTGGGTGCAGGTGGGCTGAGGCTGAAAAGAGAGCCAGCAAGGAAGATAGGGGTGGGGCAGTTTTACAGGATTTGGGTGAGTAGTGGAAAATTACAGTCAAAGGGGGTTTTTCTCTTGCGGGCAGGGGCAGGGGTCACAAGGTGCTCGGTGGGGGAGCTTCTGAGACTTATTGTCGAGGAGAAGGAATTTCACCAAGGTAATCAATCAGTTAAGGTGGGGCAGGAACAAATCACAATGGTGGAATGTCATCAGTTAAGGCAGGAACTGGCCATTTTCACTTCTTCTGTGATTCTTCAGTTGCTTCAGGCCATCTGGGTGTATACGTGCAGGCTTGGGCTCAGAGGCCTGACACTTTCTTCAAGAGGCAGGATATTATCCAAACCCTAAAGGATGGGTAAAAATTACGAGAGTGGGCTGGTATAGAGTTCATCCCAGGTAGAGGTACTAGCATGAACAATGGGCTAATGGTGTGAAAAAATATGCACATATAAGATATAAATGGAGTGGTTTGTATGTGATGGGAAATGAAAATAAAAGGCCTAGAATAAGGGTCAAATGATGAAAAGCCCTGGATGACACATTAAGAGATTTAGGCTTTGTTTTTGATTTGAAAGTAATGAGAAGGATCTAAGTATTTTTGTGGGATAAATGAATATGAACTCAGTCACATTGTGCAGCACGTCATTGTATCTCTGCTCTGTTCAGCATCTCTGTTGATACTTGCTTCTCTGGTTGTGGATAAAGTTCCAGAAAACTCACAAAACTTTTCTAGTCACTCAATTTTTGTTGTATAATTCAATTAAAAATATCAAAACTTCAATTTCTAATCAAATATAAAGCTTGTTCCCTTGGCTAGCCAGGCCTATCACAAGCTCAAAAGTGGGGAAGAAAGAAATGATGGACTTCTTCACTCTGGCCTCATCCGGCTCTTGTCCTCCACCCCTTTCTAGGAACGTCCTCTTCAAGGATAACTTCTGTGGGGCCGCTATCCAACCTGTAGGAAATGTGCTGTTTTACTTTGCAGGTTGTTGAAGTGTCATTATGTAGTCTCTTATCTTCAGAAGCAGGTCAGATACCAGCTCATGAATCTTCCAGTTTCCAGGAGGCTCATATTAAGCTCTCAGAGTGATTCTCTCAAAGCCCTCTCCTTTGGTTGAAGGCAAGAGGAAAGTACTGCATGGAGAGGGGAAGAAGAAATCAGCAGTCCTCTGACAACTCCAAAGGTGCTGTCCAGCATGGTAATGAAAATCTGCAGCTGGGGATCAAATCACCTGCCCTCTTCTCCCAGCTTCTTCACTTAGGCTCTCTGTTAAATTAGATAGGTACTTAACTTGCCTTAGTTTCCTCATCTCTAAAACGGAACTAATAAAGGACTTCTCAGGAGATTTTTATGAGGATTAAATAGCTTCATATATGTTGTACTCTTTGAAGGGCATTCAGCACATAGTATTACACACTAAGTTATAGGCTAATAAGAAACTCTCTCCTTAATGAAATCCCTACCAATCTTTTAAAATTAATCCATAGCATTTTTATATACCTTCAAAGTGGCTGAAAAGCTAAGAATCACAAAACTAGACTAACAGTCCTTAGCGAGACCTGAATAAATTGTCTGGCACACATTGATTTCAGGTTTCTCTTGGAAATCTGGGGCAACAAAAAACATCCATTCTGTATCCTACTATCTAGTCAATACTAGTTTTATCCTCATGATCTTATGAGGTATGTACTGTCATTATCCCAATTTCCAGGTCAAGTAAGTGAAGTGAAGCATGGAGAGATAAACTAACTTACTCAAGGCCACATGGTTAGTGAGGAAATTAGGATTGGAACACACGTGCTTTGATTCCCATAACTGATCTTAAACACTGTGCAATGCTACCTCTCAAAACAGTGTACACATATGCACACATGTTTGAACAGGTTTTAGTGACTAGATGTAGAAGATAAAGGTGACTGGCATTTTAAGCTGTACAAGAAACAGGGTGATGCTATAAACCAAAAATAAAAGTTATTTGGTAGCATCATTTGAGTTATGCTGAGCAGAACATGCGTGAACAATAATATATTGGAAAATCAGTTCCAAAGAACTCCAAAGAAAGATTAAAACTAGGATTGTAGACATGGAAGCTTTGTAATAGATACAGGTTTGTGAGATGACTAAGTAGAAAACTCTAAAAGAGAAAGCCAAGAGCACGTGAGCAGAAACTCAATAAGTTCCCTACATTTAGGGGGATATGTAGGAAGAAAGACCAGTGAATGAAACCAAGATTTACGTACAAACTCGCAGCCTTAAAACTAAATTTGACTTGCAGATGTGTTTTGAATGACAGGCAAATTCATTTTAAAATAGGTGATTCGATATTTAAAAAGACCAGAAAACGTAGGAACACTGGACCCATGTTCCTGTGTGGGAACAAATGGCCACATTGAATGAACTCTTACTTCTTTAGGTAGGGCAGGTGCTTTCTGGTCGGTCATGGTCCCTACCACTCCCTCGTGTTTTGCCTGCTGAGACTTCACCTACTTACTCCTGTGTGTCGCCTGCTTGGTCCTTAGGGACTTGTATTTGTGATTCCTGCTTTAGAAAGGTGGAAAAGAAAAGAGAACTCAGATATAAAATTCCTGAGAAGGATGGCTTTCAAGAAGAAAAGATAATCACTCTCTCACCTGCTGCTTAAACAAAGAAAAAAATGGAGGACTCGTGAAGGAATTTAGATTTAGAACTTGGTAATTTGGGAAAAAAATAGAAAACACATTCAGTGGAAAGAGATTGGAATGTATGTTGGCGGTAAGAAACAAATGGAAAGTAAGGAAAATTTTTTCAAGTTTTATATTGAAGCAAACAAAATGGCTAATCAATTTTTTTCTCTATCAATGGAATGTTTATAAAGTCTTCTTTGACTCTGCAAAATACATTATCTCTCCTGGGCATCAACCTGTGTCATTTGCCTATCGATGAATCTTATTCAATCTCAATCTCTCACATTTTAGGTCAGGTCCAATGTAATCATGGTAGGAAGGATTCTAATCCATGAGAGTTATTAATATTGAAATGAGGGCTGGGTGCGGTGGCTCATGCCTGTAATCCCAGCATTTTGGGAGGCCGAGGCGGGCGGATAACGAGGTCGGGAGATCAAGACCATCCTGGCCAACATGGTGAAACCCCACCTCTACTAAAAATACAAAAATTAGCTGGGTGTGGTGGTGTGTGCCTGTAATCTCAGCTACTTGGGAGGCTGAGGCAGGAGAATCACTTGAACCAGGGAGTCGGAGGTTGCAGTGAGCTGGAATCACATCACTGTACTCCAGCCTGGTGAGAGAGAGACTGTCTCAAAAGATAAAAAATAATCGAAATGAAATCAAATACCTGGAAATTTGCTTTCGCATAAAACTTGCAAAGAATATTTAAATAATTGTACTGATAGATACTTCTGAAAGTAACTGTTTTAACTCATTGAATTTTTTTTCTATTGTCAAGTCTTAATTTATCTTTCTCCCTCTCAACCTCTCTCTCCACCTCTCCCTCACACACACTCTTACTTACACACATAGCATATTTATATTATGCATTCTTTGTTATAATTCTTTGACATTTTAACATCTCTGAAATTAGGGAGTGTCTTACAACTGGTGACACAGAATTACATAACTATAATATATTTATAGCTTTCTTATGTAGTTCATTTTCTAGAAATATATGGAAGGAAAGTGTCTGTGACTATATTATGAATAATTTCCATCTCCTGGGCCCAGAGGGAGATCGAATATGAAGGGAAAATCTGATGAAATATGTGTATTTAATCAATTTTCAAACAGTTTGAAGTGGCTCAATTTTAAATGGCTGATTGATAATGGTAGTTATTTCCAAGTTGGAATAAATAACTGCCTGTTGGCTTCAGAGACAATAGTGATGCTCAGTCTGAGATACTGTATTTGCTTTTTTTCTATTACAAAAATGACAGGCCAGAGAAACTTGGGGGGAAAAATTCTTCTGCTATTTTAAGATGCTGTCCCTCTCACTGTTTTTGTGCCATCATTAATCAACTGTCTGCATATGAAGAAGAAAGGAAAAAAAGCCTGTAGACCACTTAATGTGCCTTACTTTAGCACAGTGCAAAGAACTCAGACTTCCTGTATGTCTACCTTTGTGAGCATATCCACATAATAAATGTGTCTTGGAACCTCAGCCTGATATTTTTCAAATCTTGAAAAATCATTGAAATTGCCTATGTATTCCCACAAGGATAATGTGTGTTAGCTATTACCAGGAAAATATGTTTTATTACACAATAGAATCTGAAAATATCCACTGTATATTTCAAGTGTATGTTACTAAATTTTAATTTAAATTTAGCAGAATGAAAAATGATGGTGGTAGAATGTTCATATATAGTGTACATAGAAGTTTGCATTTCAAAGACCATGTCTATAATTTAGGCTATATGATCAGTAGTCTGATTTATATCTTTAATAATCATATTATTTAAAAATTATTTAATACTTTATTCTTTACAAAATATTTTTACATTTATTATCTTGTTCAAACTTGGAAAATTATGCAGAAATCAATGATGCCCACTTAAATATTACAGTATTGTTGAAATAGTAAAGAAGCCAATTCCAGTTATATTTAGTCTCTTAAATTATTATTGCCATCAAACTTGAACTATGTGTTCTCTATAATGAGTAATGAGCATTGTATAGTTGCACTATTTCGGATTTTATGTATTTTTTTCTCCTCTATTCTATATTTTTGAAAATTAAAAGTAAGACAAATCTGGTTGGAAACATGAAAAGATTATGCACTGGATGATAAATGGTCTTAAGAGTTTCATGCAAATGTTTGCAAATGCCACCCTTTGCAAAGTGGCACAGTCCTGCAGCCTAGCATGCAAGTACGTTATCCACCTGACAAGATAGTGAAATATCCCACTCATCTGTTCAGGGCTAATTTTTCAAATTTTAATAATTTTATTAGTCCCTGGCAAGGCCTTTTAAAACTTTGCAAAGAGTATTAATAACTCATTAAAGATTCATTATTTGTCAGATTTGAGGTCAAAGAGTTTGAGTGGTATTCAGTTATCTGAATTAAAATGCATCTACTCTGTAAAAGAATGAGTATTGAAAGACTCTACCTTTCCTACTAACACTGAATTCTCTTTTATGAAAACACATACACATAAACATTAACTCGAGCGTCTTTAACAATTAAATGAGACAGTGATGACAATATGCATGCAGAGAAAAAGATTTGCTATAGAGGAATGTCAGTAAGGAAAGACTAGTTAACTCCTTAACCTTATGTAAGGTTAACTCCTTAACCATATGTAACTCCTTAACCTTATGTAGTTTGATAACTGGAGGACCAAGCAGAAGCTGTGTCAGTTATGAAGCCTTCCCCCATCTAAAATCTGTATGTTGTTCTCATTGAATGTAACCACGAAATTTAGCTGGGCAAGAGTTTGAGACTAAGAAGATAAATAAGAAATAGATGTCTAAATAAAGAATAGAGGAATTTTGAGAATTATGAAGTATTAGAAAAGAGAGATGGGGATGAAAAGCAAGATCTAGAGGAGTCTGTTTTGATTCTTAGATAATTCTGAGATGTGTTCACAGAGCCAGTAAAACGACAAATAATAATATATGTGAAAGGAGGCTTAAATGCATTAAAATTCTTTAAGTGAAAACTATTTAAATCATTAACGTATTTCAAATGTGACCTCTGGTGAATTATGTATTATTTTCCTTTCATTTCCCTCGTCTTTTGAATCAGAATAACAATAATGCTTATGTTGACAAATTGTTGTGAGGACAAGGGTTACAATATTAAAAAAGTCTTCTCAGGGTGCATCTTCAACAACTAGTAACTTTTATTATGCCAATTAATTTTTAAAGTATCCAGATATCATTTTTGAAAAACTTTTAAAAACAGTTAATTTAGTGAACTATACTATATTACTTAGCATGGTTATGCAAATTTTTTTAGTTATTTTTACTACCAATTTTGGAGAAATGATAATTTCTCTGTCTTTCAAAGGGTATTTTTCTCATTGTACCTGCTTGAAAATCTATCCCCAAAGGTTTACTGGTTTCCTTTCTTTGTAATACATGCTTTAGGGGGAAATTATCATTTCTTCTTGGAATTCTGGAATTTGAATTAAAGAGTCTGCCAGTCAGCATTGCCTGTTTTCCCTTGGTCCTGGCATACAGAACTTGAATTGGTTTCCAAGGCAAAGCATTCAATAATCTGTATGCAAAGTAGTATTTTTACATAGCTCTGAATGTCATATCCAAATGTAAAGCTGCCTGTTGCCTCAAGTGTGAAATTCATTCTCATTTAAATTTTATGTTTCTTTGCAACTAGTGATGCTGGTATTTGGGGACTGGGCTGTAGAAACACATGTGACAGTGGTTAAAAGTAGTAATAGCTGTGATTGCACCTCCCTGGCTCCTTCCCCACTATTGCCTTTGTCTTCATGGAAATATGGAGAGCGTTTCATGTGGAAGCTACCCCTGGGCTAGCAGTAAATCTGCAGAATTTAAAGGTCCTAGTCATTTTTCTGAATGCATTTTACTTTGAGCTTTTGAGGTTGATTTTAGTCCAAAATGCTGATTGAGGATGAAAAGGTTACTAGAGAATTTGCCTATTCATGATGCAACCCATTTTTCATCCAAATCCCATGTCCGGATCACTTTTAATCTTCCCACTGCCTTCTGTAATGGCTGCTTGCTGCTCCTTTGAGCTACCATTTTTAATGCAAAGGGTCAATGGCAAGAAACTAGTGTCTCCATGGTTAGAACTAGACCTCCCATTTAAGTAAAGTGTTATACCAGAAATATGGATTCCTAAAGCCATTAGTTACAGTAATTGTATGGAGTACTAAGGACTGTACCTCACATGAGATAGCAAAAGTGTTAATGGTGGCTATAATCTAACACCCCAAAATATCCTTTTCTTAGGTAGGTAACTTATTCACTATAATGTTGAGCAAAATTGTGGAGCTATTGCTGTGTATCACACATTGTCCGCAAATTTAATGACATAAAACACAAACTATTATTTTTCATGAATCCTTGAATAAACTGGGCAGCTGTGCTGGTCTAGGCCAGACTCTGGACTCTCATATGTCTGTGGTCAGCTGGCAGGTCAGCTGGGCCTGGCTGGTCCAAGATGTGGCTGGCTAGTCTTAAGGCCTAGTCTCAGAACTGGCACATCATCACTTCTTGCTGCAGTCTTTTGGCCAAAGCAAGTCACACTCCTAGCCCAGATTCAAGAGGTGAGGAAATAAAGTCCGCCACTTCAAGGCAGGAGTTGAAAGTCACGTTATAAAGAGAAAAGATACATGTCTGGGTACAGAATTGGGGTCAGTTTTACAATCAACCCCAATTGCTTTTCCGGATTAGGAGGGGCAATACTGAGGTTCCCTCCTATACTAGATCACACCAGCTCACTCATGGTAAGCACCACAGCTCAAAAGCGAGATGTGAGGTTTTGAAGTTTTGAATAAGCTCTAACCCTCTGTGAAGTTATCTATTACAACAGCATTTAAGAAAAATAACTAGACAGGCCAGGCGCAGTGGCTCACTCCTGTAATCCCAGCATTTGGGGAGGCCAAGATGGGTGGATCACCAGAGGTCAGGAGTTTCAGACCAGCCTGGCCAATGTGGTGAAACCCCATCTCTACTAAAAATACAAAAATTAGCTGGGCGTGGTGGTGGGCACCTGTAATCCCAGCTACTTGGGAGGCTGAGGCAGGAGAATTGCTTGAACCCGGGAGGCGGAGGTTGCAGTAAGCCGAGATTGTGCCATTGCACTCTAGACTGTGCGACAAGAGTGAAACTCCATCTCAGGAAAAAAAATAAAAGAAAGAAAGAAAAATAACTAGACAGCTTCATAATGATGTTCTGTATTGATGTTCTGTATTGGTTAATACATTTCTGCAACATTTGGCTTAATATAGATATATTTTACCTATGCAGTGGAGTCTTGATTTCTTAAACAGCATGTTCTCAAAGTGTTTCTTCTTGTTTTCTTTCATGTGTGTGTTTATAAATGTATGTATATGCATGTATATATGGATTTAAATGTATACACATATGTATATGTATATATATATGCACATATGTGTGTGCATGCACATTTCCTACTTCACTTCTGCCAGCATGCCAGCATCCCTGTTATTCTTTAGCACTCTGAGGTACCACCTTATGGTTGTTTACTGAAGTTGCTGATTATTCCAAAGGTCACTACCCAGAGCAGGAGATGTTACCTGCCTTACTGGAGCCAACTAGTTATACAGTGGAAGGGAAATCTAGGTGAGGATGTTAACAGGCATATGTATGCATCTTTTTATGTGGTGGTTCTGATAAAAATTCCATAGGCTCAGCAATAGAGGGCTCAAAATCTGGCTGATAATTTTACATCTGGGGTAGCTGCATTTATAATCCTCCATCAGTTGTGGTGTTGTCATCTTCATTAAGAATTTAATGAGCACCAACAGGCCTAGCTAATGTGTGGAAAACAGAGGTGTAGCCACATCCTCTGCCTAGCAAGCTGTTGCATGATTACAGAGCTTCTGGTGTGCATGAAGAGCTGGGCCCTCCCTATTTTTACTTACTTCATAAATCTAGACACAGACTTCACTTTGGGGCTCATATTATTAAGAGGATACTGCAGAGGAAAAATAAACCCCGTTTGGTAAAGTAAATGGTATGCCTGCCTCTGTAGCTACCCATGGTTTATTACTGCTGTATGTTATTTCCAGCAGTGCTTATAACAGTGATCATAAGGGACCTTTAAAGACTTACTGATGCCTCTTGGGCAGTTTCAGAATAATACCGTTTATAAATTATTCTGCCTACATATCTTATGTCTTCAGGATTCCTTTTGCCTTGCTTTGTCTGTTGTGAGTATATTTGCATGAAAACAGGTGTGTGACAAAATTCAACATTCATTACAATGAAACACACCCACACTTATACACACTTTATTTTGCAAATGAAGAAATAAAGAGAACTTCTTAAATCTGATTTTTAAAGACAATCTATAAACATACATATAGCAAAGATTATACTTGGTGGCAAAATGCTGAAAGCATCCTCTGAGGTCAGGAAAACAAGACAAGGATGCTGCTTTCACCAACTTTCAATATTTCACTGGAGGTCCAGTCTAGCCTAATAAGTTAAGAAAAAGACTTACTGGAAATAAACATATTAAACTGCTATTATTCCTAGATGACATGATTATTTGTCTAGGAAATCTAAAAGAAGGTATATACTATTAGAACTAATAAGTAACTTTAGCAAGGTCACTAGGTACTATGTCAATAAATAGACTAATTGTATTTCTGTACATCAGAAACAAAAATGAATTTTTAAAAGACATTTATAATCATATTAGAGACCTATAAAATATCAAAAACCAAATTAGATGCAAGATGTATAATGCCTCTAATTAAAACCTCAAAATATTATTGAGAGAAATTACAGAAGACCTAAAAAAATAGAGGCATATACCATGGCCATGGATTGGGAATGATGTATAGTTCTAACTCAATCATAATTAAGATTTCTACAGCATTTTGAATCAATAAACTTATGCTAAAAAGTATGAAAAAGAAAAGATCCAAGAAGAGCCAAGAAATCTTGAAGAGTAAGAACAGAGCTGACAACTTTCAATGCTAGATAACGCTATAGTAATTAACATAATATATTATTGGTTCAAATGTGAATAAAGAGAACACTGAAACGTAATAAAAAGTCCAGAAAATGACCTACTTATATAGATCAATTGGTTTACGACAGGGAAAACCCTACAGTACAGTGAGTACATTAAGTGGATATATTCTATAAATGGTGCTGGGTTCATTGAATATTCATAAAGAAAAAATATTAATCTTGACTTCTACCTCTTACCACATACAAGTCAAAACATTTTACATTTAACTGTACAAAGATATGTGTCTTTTCTAAAAAAAATAGTATTTTTATTTTAAGGAACTATATTTTAATTTGTTCATTTGTTTTTGTTTTGATATCTAGGAACTCACAGCTAAAGCATGCCTGATCACAGTAATTTTCTTTAACCTAAGGTTTCTGGCATAACTCTCTTGTCCCTTTTATTGCATGACAATTGTTCTTTCATCCTTGCTTTAACGATTCTATTTTATGGGTCTCTTTTGTGTGTGTGAGAGTTATTTTAAATCTTTTTTTGAAGTAGACAAGGTATAAATAATGAATAAATCAATCAATGAGGCAAGTTAAACTTCTTTTGAAATTTTGAAGCCTGATTGAATTGTCAAAAAGAATTATAGCTCGTATAGTAATCCCAGTAATTACACTTTGATAAAGTTGTAACTGTCTAACATCATATTGCTAATATATTAAGCAAATAAATATTACATGGAATGTTCTTTAAATGTTAACATACGTGTCAGTATTAAAAATAAGTAGCATTTACATGGAGAAAGAACCTACTTTTTGTAGACTGTGTGTTATATATACTGGGACAAAAAATATAGATTATTTGTTTCTCTTTAGGAAAAGTTGCTTGAATATTGAAATAACTTTTTCATATGGATACAGTATGTAGAAGAAAAAGAATAACTGTTTGGAAGGTGGGAAGTGTAGCAACTGAGAAGTGCTTCAAACCCTGTTAGTGATTAAGAATGTGAGATTTAAAGTTATTAGACCTATCTACATAGGAATCCCAGCCCTGCCACTTAGTGACTGTGTCATCTTGGAAAAGTTACTTGACCTTTCTTAAGACTCAATTTCTTTATATCCAAAATGAGAATAATAATATCTATCTCATATAGGCTTGAATCTGTATATGGCTGAATGTAGGCATGACATTAATTTTTTGCAGAGTGTAATATTTCCGTATTTTAATATCCATCCTTTAAAATATTTAATTTTGAGTTTTGGAAGAGAATGAAATTTGAGCACCTATATGCAACAAGCAGACTGAGTACGGAATAACTAGGAGAGCAGGTGAAAAACGTGAATGATGTGGGACAAATAAGAAATTCTGAACACTGTGTGCAGCCCATCAATTGCAATGAGGACCTGGGGAGTTGTAACCTATGAAACTGTAGATGCTGTTGCTGTACTGTGAAGCACTACTGCTCTGACAGGCTCTCTGAGCTCCCATTCCACCTAGCACACGTGGCAATAAAGTGCAGCACATGGAATCCATATTAGAGCAATAGCTGCATCTTCAAAAAAACGTTTTAATGACTTTTCTAGTCTGCATTTAGAAGGATGATTTTAGATCTTACATCTTATCTTTTTCTAGGTTAATGTGCCTTCCCCCTCAGATCCCTGCATTTGGGGAAATTTCTGTGATGGTATACTCCCAGAGAGTATTGTGTCTCATTCAAAATACCCTTAGGAAACCTTTGATCTAGAATGTAAGTTCAGCAGCCAGAATCAGAATTGAATGCTTGTGGTGGTGTGAGAAGTCTGCATATATTCGGAAAGTTGTATAGGGACATTTTGTGTCGCTCCTTCTTCCACTTCTTCCTCTTCCTCCTCTTCTCCTCCTTCTCTTCCTCTTCCTAGTCTCCTTCTTCTCCTCCTCCTTCTCCATTTCCATCTCCTTCTCCTCCTCCTTCTCCTCTTCCTCCTCCTCCTTCTCTTCCTCTTCCTACTCTCCTTCTCCTCCTCCTCCTTCTCTTCATCTTCCTACTCTCCTTCTCCTCCTCCTTCTTCTCCTCCTTCTCTTCCTCTTCCTACTCTCCTCCTCCTTCTCCTCCTACTCCTCCTCCTTCTCGTCCTCTTCCTACTCTCCTCCTCCTTCTCGTCATCCTTTTCCTCCTCCTCCTCATTCTCCTCTTCCTTCTCCTCCTCCTTCCCATCCTCCTCCTACTCCTCCTCCTTCTCGTCCTCTTCCTATTCTCCTCCTCCATCTCCTCGTCCTTTTCCTCCTCCTCCTCATTCTCCTATTCCCTCTTCTTCTCCTTCTCATCCTTTTCCTACTCTCCTCCTCCTCCTTCTCCTCGTCCTTTTCCTCCTCCTCCTCATTCTCCTCTTCCTTCTCCTCCTCCTTCTTCTCCTCTTCCTCCACCACCTACTTCTATTCTTCTTCCTACTCTCCTTCTCCTTCTGCTCCTTCTCCTCCTCCTCCTCATCTTCCTTCTCTTCCTCTTGCTACACTCCTCCTCCTCATCTTCCTTCTCTTCCTCTTGCTACACTCCTCCTCCTTCTCTTCCTCTTCCTACTTTCCTTCTCCTTCTCTTCCTCTTCCTACTTTCCTTCTCCTTCTTCTCTTCCTCTTCCTACTCTCTTCCTTCTCCTCCTCCTTCTCTTCCTCTTCCTACTCTCCTTCTCCTCCTCCTTCTCCTCTTTCTCCTCCTCCTTCTTCTCCTCCTCCTCTTCTTCCTACTCTCCTCTTTCTCCTTCTCCTCCTCCTTCTCTTTCTCTTCCTCTTCCTACTCTCCTTCTCCTCCTCTTCCTTCTCCTCCTCCTCCTTCTTCTCTCCCTCTTCCTACTCTCCTTCTCCTCCTCCTTATCCTCTTCCTCCTCCTCTTTCCTTGTCTCTATATACTCTTCTCCTTCTCTTCCTTCTCCTCTTTCTTCTCTTCCTCCTCCTCCTCTTCTTTCTCTTCCTTTTCCTACTGTCCTTCTTCTCCTCCTCCTCTTTCTCCTCCACCTTCTCCTCTTCCTTTTTCTCTTCCTCCTCCTCCTCTTTCCCTTCCTACTCTTCTTCTCATTCTCCTCCTCCTCCTATTCCTCCTTCTCCTCCTCCTCCTCTTCCTCCTTCTCCTCCTCCTTCTCCTCTTCCTCCTCCTCCTCTTCCTCCTCCTTCTCCTCCTTCTGTTCTTCTTTCTACTCTCCTTCTCCTCCTTCTCCTCCTCCTGCTCTTCCTCCTCCTTCTCCTCCTTCTGTTCTTCTTTCTACTCTCCTTCTCCTCCTTCTCCTCTTCCTCCTCCTCCTCCTTCTCCTTCTTCTTCTTCTTTCTTCCTCTTCTTCTTCTTTTGAAGTCTGTGTACTGGTGTCTTGAAGAACCATCACCTTTGGAAAAGGTAGATTTTGTCAGCAAACTGGACCTGAGAAATCTTTTATTGCAAGGGAGGCTTCTGGATTAATTGTTCTCTTCTGTTGACATCCATAGCTATTGGCACTTGCAAAGATCTTATTTGATGGTTTCTATTCCTTGGGTGACCAAAAGCACTATATCAAAATGCAAATAAGGGAGAATTTTCAATGTTTAATATTAAACCAGCCCTCCTACCTACAGGAAACTGCCATTTCTGCAAATGGTGTGGAATGTTTTGTTATATGACAAGGAGTGGAAGAGCTAAATATGCCCTGCACTTGAACCGCACTCTGTTCATCTAAGAATTCTGTGTATGTTGTATTACATTGGAACTATCTGGATTACAGCACAGACTAATAGTCAACCAGCCAAAATAAAATCAGCCAAAGATTCATTGCTGTCGTTAAAAACCTCACTTTAGAAAGGAAGGACCTAAGTAGATACTTTAGTAATCAAATCTGAGGAAGTTCAATTTTACTTGGTTGTGAGAAACATGGAGCATGCAAATACCTAAAATTAAGCAATACTAAAGAAAAAAATAAATTTACTTATCAAAAATGATTAAAGTGTAGAAGTGAATCTGCTATCACAGTAATTTAATAAACTGAAGCATGAGTTATTTTGGATTGAATTTGTTACATAGCTCATGCATGAAATGATCTGTTGCTTGTTCTTGTGACTATGAAACAGCAAAGGGAAAAAATGTATTCTGTCCGAGGCATTGTAAAAATATTGAAAGCTTTGAGCCTTTTGTAGAGGCATATGACTACAACTTGTCATTTATACTTTACAGGCCAATAATTTTTACGCCGAAATCGCAGATGCTTAGCTTTCAGAATTATCTCTTAATATATAGTGGGTTCAGAAACTCAACTCTGGCGCCATGAGACTGTCACTCATGTGATTACACTGCCACCATGTGGTTTCAAAGATCCTTTCCAATTAAAAAAATCAAAGATATGGCCTCTTACGAAAAAGAAAATGATGATTCAAGTATTTTCTCTATTTTTCTTGGTCGTTTGTTCTGTTACAATATTATACATAGTGTATGGATTCTCATGGGAGGTATGACTGGGGCAGAAATGTAAGAGGTGGTAGTATAGGCTAATAATTATTTGTAGTTCTTCATGAATTCAGCTTCTGCCAAGTGAATACCATCAAGAGCTTTGCTAGCAGGTGCTACCTTCATTGACCTTTTCTGAATAAATATAGCATTTACAGTGTCCAGAAGAATCTAAAAAATTCCTTACAGATGTCAATAGGCAAGTGTTTCTCAAACTCGGTTCCTAGACTGGCAGCATGAACATTCTTGAGAAACGTATTAGAAATGCCAGTTATTCAGCTCCACCCCATGCACTGAATAAGAAATTCTGGAAATGGGGCCCAGTAATCTGTTTTAAAAAGCCCTCCCAGGTGATTCTGATGCTTGTTAAAATTTGAGAACGATTGTTAAAGACAATCACATCTCTCTTAGGATAGATTAACACACATTTCCCTAGATAGTGTTAAATTTAGCCACCTGCTTCGGGCCCCTAAAAAAAAAAAATCCACAGAGAAGTGAAAGACAAAGGTCCCAGGGCTTCCTATCAGTTTCGTTGACCAGCACCCTGAAGCCCTCCCTGGGAAGGAAGAAGCAGGTCATCTGGGGGGGTTCCTGTTCCCATCAACTGCCCTATCAGCATTCTTTCTTCCCTATTTAACTGCACCTGAAAGAGTTGCTACAGCCAATTCGGAATAAATCTTTCAACCTTTTGGGATTATTGGAACACAGTCAATTATGAATGGATGTTATATATAAGACTACTTTTCGGACATTAAAAATATAGTTTTTATATATAAGCTAAATATAAGCTAAAAATATAGTTTTTATATATACGCTAAATATAAGCTACAAATTGGAAAGCCTCCCAGGCTTTAAGAATGTTAAAGAATGGTGGGATGGTATGAATTGGAGACTCCATGCCCTGTCATTACAGCCAGACACTAAACTGCTTCCCAACTCAGTTTTCTGTAGTCATGCACAAAGGTTGGCCTCATGCTACTAGGACTTCTGATATTTATAATATGAAAAGTCAGAAAGAATAAATTTTATGTAAAATGTCAAAATTTTAAAGTATGAATTCAAGTTTACGTGCATGTATAAATAAATAAATGAAAACATATCTGCCAGTTTGATTCCATCTACTGACCTCCAGAATCTTGTTTCTGGGGTAAACAGTTAAGGAAAATTGTGGTTATCAACCTCAGCATACATTTATGAACATATGTATGTCTGATATTGAAGTGATTTGTGTCCATGCTTTTTCATCTTTGTATGTGTAAATACATATCCTTTCTCTTCCTCTTCCTCCTCCTACTCTCCTCCTTCTTGTTTGTGCTTCCATAGAAATTTTAGGATTGTTTTCCTGTTTCTTTGAAGAATGTCATTGGTATTTTGGTAGTGATTGCACTGACTATATACACAGCATGGAAACCTAGCATCTCAAAACATGGGGGAAATATTTTATTTGGTAACGAAGTAGCTTCAAACTGAGTAAAAGCAAAAAATCTGAAAGGTGCCTGAATTCAAAAAGCACATCTCTAAAGTGCCATGCTTTATAGAAGAGAATGTATGATATTTTTACTAATATGAAACATGTTTTCAAAGCATTTAAAAATCTTTCAAGATCTTACAAATTTCACAGCACATACAGAATAAAAATATTGAGAATATACGACTTACTTGTAGTGTAGGTTATTCTTAGGGACATATAAAATACTTAAAAATATCAAGATTAGGAACAAAATTAGGCACTCAATTGGAACAAAAATCAGATTTTAATTGTTTTTATCCCTGGCTATGGAAAGAGTGCTTAATAAATAGCAGCTGAACTAATAGAAGAATAAGTATTGATCAGGTGTTACTGAGAGAATTTTCTACATAAGGCATGGTCTCTGCAGCTTAACCCTCACTGTCCTCACTGTGTCCAAGATTCAGAAAGTGCGTCTTATATCATTGCAAGTTGGAGGTTTTCTGAAAGACTTCAAGAACAACTTTAGATAGAACCTTGGTTTTTCTCTGTGGTTTCTTTCCAAATCTAGTAAAATTTCAGTGGCTGTGCTGCTGATCATATATTTAAGATTGATAGAACTAATTCTGGGTTAAATTACAATGTACACACCAAGCTGAAGATCATTCTGGTCACTCGGGGCCAATGTCTGGATACATCCCCATCCCTTGGCACAACAGAAGCTAGTTTTTCAGACTGTTTCCAGATTTAATGAAGACCTCCTGCCCCAACTATCTTGACCTATAGAATATCATTGTGGTTAGGATTCTGAACATGGGGATCCTTTACTTTCCTTCCTCATGGATTTTAGAGTTTCAAGAGTATCCCATAAAAAAATGCATATTCAGTAGTCCCCACTTACCCTTAATGTATATGTTTCAATATACCCAGTGGATGCCTGAAACCACAGATAGTACCAAACCCTATATATATTATGTTTGTTCTATCCATACATACATATGATAAAGTTTAATTTATAAACAGGCATGGTAAGATATTAACAACAACAAAAATAAAATAGAACAATTATAATAATATGCCAGCATAACTACTCTTGTGCATTGGGGTCATTATGAATTAAAACAAGGGTTACTTGAACACAAGCATTGTGATACTGCCACAGTCAGTCTGAAAACTGAGGAGGCTACTAAGTGACTAGCAAGCAGGTAGAGTCTATGGGGTGAGTACTCTGAACAAAGGGATGATTCAAGTTCCAGGTGGGAGAGAGCAGAAAGATAAGGGAGGGTGTCAGATTTCATCACACTAAGAATGGCATGCAATTAAAAACTTATGAATTGTTTACTTCTAGAATTTTTTATTTAACTTTTTTCAATTTAGAATTTTCAAATTTTCTTAAATATTTGATACATAAGAAGTACATATTTTGAGGTTATATGTAATATCTTGATACAGTCATATATATTGATCAGATCAGGGTAAGTGGGATATCTGTCTCCTTAAACATTTGTCTTTCCTTTATACTGGAAATAATTATTATCCTCTAGCTATTTTGAAATATGCAGCAGATCATTGTTTAGTCACCTTACTGATTTATCAAACACCAGGTCTTGTTTCCATAATCTAACCATATTTTTGTTCATATAAATCAACCTCACTTTATTTCCTCTCCTCCAACCCTGGCCCTTCATGGCCTCTGGTAACCACCAATCTACTCTTTATCTTCATAAGATCACCTTTATTACCTCCAACATATGAGAGAGAACATGTGATACTTGTCTTTCTGTGCCTGGCTTATTTCACTTAACATTATGACTTCCAGTTCCATCCACTTATATTGCTGCAAATGACAGGATTTCATTCTGTTTTATGGCTGAATAATATTCCATTGTGTAAATACACCACATGTTCTGTATCCATCGATGGCCTCATAGGTTGATTCCATATTTTGGCTATTGTGAATAGCGCTGCAATAAACATGGAACTGTAGCTATCTCTCTAATATATTGATCTCCTTTCTTTTGGATATATACCCAGTATTGGGATTGCTGGATCCTATGGTAGTTCTATATTTTGTATTTTTAAGAACTCCCATGTCATTTTCCAGGATAGCTATATTAACCTACCTTCCTAGCAACAGTGTACAAGGGTTCTCCTTTCTCCACAATCTTGCCAACATCTGCTATTCCTTGTCTTTCAGATAAAACCAATTTAACTGAGGTGAGATGATACCTCATTGTGGTTTCCCTTTGCATTTCCCTGATTATTAATGTTGTGTAATTTTTATATACCGATGGGCCATTTTTATGTCTTCTTTTGAGAAATTACTATTCAGATCTTTTGTCCATTTTTAATTGGATTATTTATTTCCTGGGGGGGGGGGGTTGTTTGCTTTTTTGAGATTCATATATATTCTGGTTGTTTATCCCTTGTCAAAAGGATAGTTCACAAACATTTTCTCCCATGCTGTGCATTGTCTCTTCCATTTGTTGGTTGATTCCTTTGCTATACAGAAGCTTTTTGCTTGATACAATCTCCTTTGTCTATTTTTGCTTTTGTTGTCTACACTGTGGAGGTCCTGCCCCCAAAAACCTTGCTTAGCCCAATGTCCTGTAGCTCCTCTTCAGTGTTTTCTTGTAATAGTTTCATAGTGTCATGTCTTATTACATTTAAGTCCTTTAATCCACTTTAAGTCGATTTTTGTATATTGTGAAAGATAGAGGTATAGTTCCATTCTTCTGCACATGATTATCTAGTTTTCCTACCACTATCCATTGAAGAGCCTGTCTTTTCCTCAAAGTGTTTTCTTTGTGTGTTTGGCAAAAATGAGTTGACTGTAAATGCATGGATTTATATCTGGAGTTTCTATTCTGTTCCATTGGTCTATATGTCTCTTTTTATGCCACTACCATGCTATTTTGATTACTATATCTTTGTAGTATATTTTGAAGTCACGTAGTGTGATGCCTCCTCCTTTGTTCCTTTTGCTCAGGATTGCTGTAGCAATTCGAGGTATTTTGTGCATCCATAGAAATTTTAGGATTGTTTTCCTATTTCTTTGAGAATGTCATTGATATTTTGGTAGGAATTACATAGAATCTATAGATTGCTTTGGATAGTATTGACATTTAAACAACATTAAATTTTTCGATCTATGAGCACAGAATGTCTTTCCATTTGTTGTGTCCTCTTCAGTTGTTTTTCATCAATGTTTTATTGTTTTCCTTGGAGAGATCTTTTACTTCTTTCTTTCTTTCTTTCTTTTTTTTTGAGACAGAGTTCTTGCTCTGTCGCCCAGGCTGGAGTGCAGTGGCACAATCTCAGCTCACTGCAAGCTCCGCCTCCCGGGTTCATGCCATTCTCCTGCCTCAGCCTCCTGAGTAGCTGGGGTTACAGGCGCCCACCCCTATGACCGGCTAATTTTTTGAATTTTTAGTAGAGGCAGGGTTTCACCGTGTTAGCCAGAATGGTCTCGATCTCCTGACCTTGTGATCTGCCCACCTTTTTTGAGACGGAGTCTCGCTCTGTTGCCCAGGCTGGAGTGCTGTGGCACCATCTCGGCTCACTGCAAGCTCCACCTCCCGGGTTCAGGCCATTCTCCTGCCTCAGCCTCCTGAGTAGCTGAGACTACAGGCACACGTCACCACACCCGGCTAATTTTTTGTATTTTTAGTAGAGACAGGGTTTCACCATGTTAGCCAGGATGGTCTCGATCTCCTGACCTTGTGATCCGCCTGCCTCTGCCTCCCAAAGTGCTGGGATTACAGGCATGAGCCACCACGCCCGGCTCATCTTTTACTTCTTTAGTTAAATTTATTTCTATGTATTTTATAATTTTTATAGTCATTGTACATTTCTTAATTTCTTTTTCATATTGTCCACTGATGTTGTATATAATACTAATGATTTTTGTGTACTGTTTTTGTATCCTGCAAATTTACTGAATTTATTTATCAGTTCTAAGAGTTTTTTGGTGGAGTCTTTAGGTTTTTCTAAATATGAAATCACATTGTCTGCAAACCAGGATAATCTGATTTCTTCCTTTCCAATCTGAATGCCTTTTATTTTTTTCTCTTGACTGATTACTCTGGCTAGAATTTCCAGTATTATGTTAAACAAAAATGGTGAAAGTGGGCATCCTTGTCTTGTTTCAGATTTTAGAGAAAAGGATTTCAATTTCTCCTTATTTAGTATGATGTTACTTTGAGTATGTCATGTGTGGCCTTTATTGTTTTGAGATATATTTCTTCTATCCCCTGTTTGTTAAGTATTTTTATCACCAAGGAATGTTGAATTTTATGGAATGTTTTCTCAGGATTCATTGAATGATCATATGGTTTTTGTTTTAGGTTCTATTAATGTTATGTTTAACATTTATGATTTGCATATGTTAAACCATCCTTGCATCTCTGGAATGAATTCCATTTGATGAAGATGGTGAATAATCTTTTAAATGTGTTGTTGAATTCGGTTTGCTTATGTTTTTTGAGGATTTTTGCATTTATGTTAATCAGATATATTGGCCTGTAGTTTTCTTTTTTTTGTTGTATCCTTGTCTGGTTTTGGTACCATCAGGGTAATGCTGGTCTTGTAGAAGGAGTTTCCCCTTTCTTCACTTTTTTTGAAGAGTTGTTTGTTTGTTTGTTTGTTTGTTTTGAGACAGAGTCTTGCTCTGTTGCCCAGGCTGGAGTGCAGTGGTGTGATCTCAGCTCACTGCAACCTCTGTCTTCTGGGTTCAAGCAATTCTCCTGCCTCAGCCTCCTGAGTAGCTGGGATTACAGGTGCACACTGCCACATCCAGCTAATTTTTGTATTTTTAGTAGAGACAGGGTTTCACTATGTTGACCAGGCTGGTCTCAAACTCCTGACTTCAGGTGATCCACCCGCCTTGGCCTCCCAAAGGGCTGGAATTACAGGCGTGAGCCATGGCACCTGGCCGAAGAATTTTAGTAGAATTGGTATCAGGTCTTTAAATGTCTGGAATAATTCAGCAGTGAAACTATCAGGTCCTGAACTTTTCTTTGATAGGAGACTTTTATTGTGACTTTGATCTCATTATTTACTATTGGTTTGTTCAGATTTTCTATTTCTTCATGGTTCAATCTTGGTAGTTTATGTATTTCCAGTAACTTATCCATTTTTCCCAGATTTTCCAATTTGTTGCCATGTACTTGTTTGTAACAGTCTCTATTCTTTGAATTTCTGTATTATCAATTATGTCTCCTCTTGTATTTCTGATTTTATTTATTTGGGTCTTCTCTGTTTTTTCTTAGACTAAATAAAGGCTTGTTCATTTTGTTTATCTTTTCAAAAAACCAGCTTTTCATTTTGCTGCTACTTTGTATTTATTTAAGTCTCAATTTCATTTATTTCTGGTGTTATCTTTTATTTCTTTCTTACTATTAAATGTGAGTTTAGTTTGTTCTTGCTTTTCTAGTTCCTGAAGGTACGTCATTAGTTTCTTTATTTGAAGTCTTTCTACTTTCATTTGTTGCTATAAACTTTCCTCTTAGCACTGCTTTTACTTTATCCCATAGATTTTTGTATGTTTTAGTTCTTTTTCCATTTGTTTCAAAAATTTTAAAATTTTATTCTTAATTTATTCATTGGCCCATTGATCATTCTGGAGTATGTTGTTTAATTAACATGTGTTTGTATAGTTTCCAAGGTTTCTCTTGTTATTGACTTCTAGTTTTATTTCATTGCAGTCAGAAAAGATAATTAAGATAATTCTACTTTTTTGAAATTTTTTAGATTTTTTTTGTGTCCTGAGATATGGTCTTTTCTGGAGACTGTTTCATGTGCTCATGAAAAGAATGTATATTCTGCAGCAACTGGGTGAAAGGTTCTGTATATGTCAGCTAACCCCATTTGGTCTAGTGTGTAGTTTAACTCTTACACTGCTTTGTTGATATTCTGCCTAGATTATCCGTCCATTACTGAGAGTAGTTTGGTAAAGTCCACTCCTGTTATAGTGCAGCCTTTTTCTTGCTTTAGATCTATTAATGTTTATTTTATATACTTGGGTGCTGCTGTGTTGGGTTCATAGACATTATAATTGTTATGTCTTCTTACTGAATTGACTCTTTTGACCTGTGTCTTTTTGTTCAGTCTTTGGCTTGTGATGCATGTTATCTGATATAAATATAGCTACTCCTGCTCCTTTTTGGTTTCAATTAGCATGAAATGTCTTTTTCTATCCCTTCACGTTCAGTGTATTTGTGTCTTTTTGAGTGAGGCTTGTTTTTTGTAAGCAGTATACATTTGAGTCTTATTTTTTTGTGTACTCAGCTACTCTATGTCTTTTCATTGGATAATTGAGTCTATTTGTATTTATGGTTATTATGAATAAGCAATGACTTACTACTGTCATTTTGTTATTTGTTTCCTGGTGATTTTGTAGCTCCTCTCTTCCTTTCTTTCCTTTGTGGTGTACTGATTTTCTCTGGTAGTATACTCTAATTCATTATTTTTTATTTTTAGTGTATTTACTGTAGGTTTTTGCTTTGTGATTACCGTAAGACTTACAACAAACATCCTATGGCTATAGCAACTTATTTTAAACAGATGACAATGTGTCTTTGATCACAAAGAAAATAATAAAAACAGAGGAAATACTATTGCCCCTTATTTTGACCTTTTGTTGTATCAATTGATATATTTTTATATTACCTATCTCTTAATAGGTTGCTGTAACTATTATTGTTTTGACATATTTGTCTCTTAGTCTCCATACTAGAGTTATGAGTGAATTGCATGCCACAATTACAGTGTTAGAGTATTCCAAGGTTGTGTACTTACTTTTACCAGTGGGTTTTGTATCTTCAAATGTTTTCTTTTTGCACATTAATATTTTTTCTTTCATAGTGAAGAGCCCCCTTTAGCATTTCTTGTAAGATGAGTCTGCTGATGATAAATTCCTTCAACTTTTATTTGAAAGACTATCTCTCCTTTTTATTTGAAGGATAGCTTTGCTGGATACAGTATTCTTGGACAGTGTTTTCTCTCTTTCTTTGAGTATTTCGAATATATCCTCCCACTCCCTCCTAGCCTGTATGGCTTTCATTGAGAAATCTGTTGCTAGACAAATTGGAGCTTCTTTATATATTATTTGCTTTATTTATCTTGCTGCTTTTAGGATGCTCTCTTTGTCCTTGTCTTTTGTGAATTTGATTATTATATACCTTGGGGTAGTCTTACCTGGGTCAAGCCTGTTTTATGTTCTCAAACATTCCTATACTTGGATGTTTATATCTTTCTCAAGTTTTGGAAAATTTCCTGCTATTATTTGAGTAAGCTTTTTACCCCCTTGCTCTTTCTCAGCTCCCTCTTGAACACAAACAATTCCTAAATTTGCTCTTTTGACGTAATTCTCTACATCTTATAGGCATTCCCCATTTCTTTTTATTGTTTTTTTCCTTTGGCTGTGTTTTTGTATATTTTCAAATAGCCTGTATTTGAGTGTACTGATTCTTTCCTCAGCTTAATCCATTCTGCTGCCGAGAGCCTCTAATCAGTTTTTCAGTTCGGCAAATATATTTCTCAGTTCCATGATTTCTATTTGATTTTTAATAATTATTTCAATCTCTTTATTAAAATTCTCTGAAAACTTCTGAATTATTTTCCTGTGTTATTTTAGATATCACTGAGTTTTCTTAAAACTGTTATTTTGAAATCTTGAGAGTTCACTTGTTACCATCTTATTAGGAACAGTCACTGACTCCTTGCTTTGGCCATTTGGGAAGGTCATGGTTCCTCCCCAACAATTTGCTGTTGTTACTTGTGGATGTACATCTGTGTCTTTGTATTAAAGGGGAAGTTATTTATTTCAGTCTTTTCTGTCTGGCCTGTTTGGGTTTTTATTGGATATGTTTGCTTAGAGATTTGTTTGCAATTGAATGTGTTTTTTGCTAGGTCACTGCCTCGTTTTCAGCAATAGATGATGTCTTAAAGCCAGATTTGCGCTGGCTTTAGGAAACATTTGGAATGCTACCCATTCCAGATTTGGGAGGTC